>NW_013171802.1:0-245716 GCF_000001405.40 Homo sapiens
AAAAAAAATATTTGACCCATCTCGTCTCTACCCTGAATTTCCCTGAGATTGAGAAGGAATTATTCAATTTTCTCTTCTTTCTGACAGAACTATCCCAGATGAATAGCTACAAAGCTACAATGGCCAATGGACGTACCATAAGATTTGTGCTCTGAGATTCCCTTGTTAAGGGTATGAGAGGGACTCATGGGAAGAATTTGGGCTGAGGAGGGATGGGAAAGGAAAGAGGGAAGGAGAAAAGGAGGGCATTCCCCTAGAAGCTCACAAAAATACAGACATAACCTCATAAACCCTACCACAATACACGGGGAAAAAAAATGTGCCTTCCCCAAAGTTACACAAAGTCCTCTTGTGTCTTCTTTCTCCCCTGTCAAGGTGAGATCTCACATACATAATACTGTTCATTGGTGACTCTTCAAGGATGTGGAGTTGGAAAAGAAGAGGGTATAAGACATTGTGATATACCTGAGCCCCCAGGCTTCATAGCCCCACGTTCTGATGGTAGTTTTCTGTTTTTGTTCAAAGAAAAGAGAATTAAGATTATGCCATTAAAACACTATTGTTTTAACCTTCTATGATAGGTAGACACATGGTAGAAATGGAGATAGAGAGAAAGGCATGTCTTTGGGATATATTTTTGAAGTGGACCAATTTATGTTATTGTTGAGGGAAAAGCAAATAAAAACAGAACCAAGAATTACCCTGAGGTTTTGATAGGGTGGATGCTATTGTCTGAGATAGAGAAAAATGATCAAGAAGTAGGTTTAGGGATGAAGAATAGAAATTAAGAGCTTTGGTTTGGCCATGTTAAGTTTGCAACATCTTTAGTGGTCCCAGTAAATGCAGATTTGGTAGACTCCAGTGCTGTATTTAGGCTGACGTATTCTTCTTAGGTGAATGACACCAGAATCCACTCTGTCTCCCAGGAGGAAAACCTAAATGGCACCCCAGACCAGCCTTCCCCTTCCTGCCAGCCATTCACCTGCAACCAATTCAAGCTCTCTACATCTCATCACCCTGTTATTACATCTAAATTCTCATACCCAACCGACTTCTTCAATCCAATTCCCATAATATTGTGCCCCTTTCAATCATTAGGACAAAAAAGTGTAGTTGTGTAACTGCTACTGGATGGTATCCATCACAGCACAGGACACAATCCAACACACGATAAAGATTTGATGATACGCTGGGCATGGTGGCTCACGCCTGTAATCCCAGGACTTTGGGAAGCCGAGGTGGAAGAATCGCTCAAGCCCAGGAGTTCAAGATACGCCTGGGCAACATAATGAGAACTCATCTCTACAAAAAAAATTTAAATGAGATGGGCATTGTGGCATATGCCTGTAGTTCTAGCTACTTGGGAGGCTGAGGCAGGACGATGGCTTGAGCCCGAGAGGTCGAGACTGTAGCGAGCTGTGATCATGTCACTGCACTCCAGCATGGGTGAGAGTGAGACCTTGTCTAAAAAAAAGATGATCTGAAGTACTGTAGAATTTTATGTTTCTTTTGTTTCTTTTTTGTATCCTTCCCACACAACCCTAACGTGGTTACTTCCAACAATACCCACAGGTAATGCCGCCACAGCCCCAGCAGAAGTCTGGTTAACCAGAGCTCCAGTTAAGACATCAAAACTAGTTCCAAAGTCTAGAAAAATCTCAGCATCAATCAGTTAGCCCAATGTTTCCAGCGCAGGTGTGTCCAGTTCAAGAACTTCATCTTTGATGATTCCTTATCTCTTTCAGGCAGTGAGGCAATAGAAGGAGAGAAGAAAGAGAATAAATGCTACATATATGTCATTTCATTTCCACACTCTCTATCATCATCATTCTAATATCATATGGTATTGTTGCATTTTCCTGTTCCAATGGCCATCAGAATGGATCTTTAGTTAATGCCAATTGTCTACTGTATATATAATCATTACAGAATGAAAAGAGAGGAGTAAGCATAAATGATTAGAAGTTGTTCAAATTTCTTCAGAAAAGGTTCTTAGAATAAGAGCCTCTACTGGGGCCAGGTGCGGTGGCTCACGCCTGTAATCCTGGCACTTGGAGACGCCAAGGAGGGCAAATTACTTAAACACATGAGTTCAAGACCAGCCTGGGCAACATAGTGAAACCTCATCTCTATTAAAAATACAAAAATTAGCCAAGCGTGGTGGCGCACACCTGTAGTCCCAGCTACTCGGAAGGCTGAGACACGAGAATTGCTTGAACCAGGGTGATAGAGGTTGCAGTGAGCCAAGATCACCCCACTGCACTCCAGCCTTTGTGACAGAGTGAGACCCTGTCCCCCCAAAAAATAAATAAATAAATAAATAAATAAATAAATAAATAAATAGAGTCTCAGTTGGTGTTGACAAGTGAAATGAAGACCCAGGACATGGCAGAAAGGAAGACAGAAATTACCCTAGTTAGAGAAAGTACATTGAGATGAGGCAAAACCAATCAGATAGAAGCAGCTCATGAAAAGGTGTGCATCAAGAGATGCAGACACTTATATGAAGCTGGCATGGGCATTCCATGGAGGTCATTAGAGTTCATGGGCAGAAATGTGAATTTCATTCCTGAAGTAACTGAGAAATCATTAGAGCAAATTTGACCAATTATAATTAACCCTATTGGGCCAGCCAGGGGCAGAAACATACTTCCATCCTCTTTTCCAGACCTCAACTCCATAAGAAGTTAATTTGTATTGCACAACCCAGTCTTCTGGCTTAGACAGAAACATTTCGTTTTTTAGAAATTACCAAAAATATTTATAGCTTGACTAAGCTAATTTAAAACACACAGCAAAAGCATGGCATGCCTTACGTTCTCTGGGCTGCATATCTCTAAGCCCGCGTGATGGCTTTGTCGAGAGCACTCTATTAAAAGCAACACTCTCCATTCACCAGGACTGTTGCATAGATTACATAGGACCTCTTTTGTTCATTAGGTAACTGTCTAGCATGGAGACGCAATTGTTTCCTGTCATGTTTTCTTCAGAACCTAAACTTTCGAGGCATTCGGGCCTTGAGCAAGCGCCTGAGCTCATCTCAGGGTGAGGTATTTCGTGTACTGACCCAGCAAAATATTTTATAATCCATTTCCTAATCCAGGAAAAGCTGAGTCTTACCCTTGCATAAACCCAAAATTTGCCCTGAAAAACAAATGTGATTAAATAAAACAATTGGAAAAAGATTTGCTTTGTTCTGCTGCTAAGATTCAACATTTGCCCAATAGCCACAGCCAGCCTAGCCATCAGGAATCGTGGCCAAGGTATGCAGGCAGCCAAGCTCATTCCTTCACACCTGACACAGACACCAGACTTTTCTGCATCTCTTCCTGGCCCTTTAGGAGAAGCAGAGACTACTATTGGTTCCTTTACTATCAAAGACAGACACCAAAAGCTCCTCAAATCTCCAGAGAATGTGAAGTTTATCATTTCTAAGTATACTGGACAAACTCTTTTTTTTTCTGATTTAACTAGTAATATGTCATCTGGAAAAGCTATTTTGTCATAAATTAGAAAGAGCATCAAGAAGAAATAAAAATTATTTTGCTCCAACATGTACATGGAGAAAAGGTAAGTGGAAGAGCAGAGGGGAGGGGAAGGGAGGCCATTAGCAAAGGCCACCACTAGCTAAGGTTTGTGCTGGAAACTTCTTTAAGCAGATGTTGATTTCACATGCTGCATTTGATACACGTGTCTCCTGATAAAAGCAAAGGGAATGAAATTACAAAGTCCAACACTGTCATCACCACAAAGCAATATGCAAATTATGGTCTTAAAATAAGTGTCTGAGAGACCTGGGTAGTTTCATCCATACAAAGGCAATTTCTTTGTCATCCTCTTACTGATTAACTACACTAATCTCCGGTGAAGCGAGCTTGGGATTCCTACAAAGTACAATGTTGTGATCCATGACATTTAAGACATGGAAGGGGCCTCTCCAGAAATGAGCCACTGGGCTGAGCCTGGGCAGAAAATAGACTGCAATGAGTCACACAATGTAAGACGGCACAAAAGATGATTCACCATGTCTAAAGGAAAATAAATAGGAGTGAATGGCTAGTGTACTCAGGGAAACTCAGTCCCAATGGGCAGAGTTTATTGGTCTGCATCACTCTGAGTTCCGTCATGGAGCTGTTGGGATGAGGTGATGGTGCTGGAAATGCTGAAACGGTGAGGGGGTGAGGAAGCAGCTCCTTTTGGGGCAGTAGCAGTGCAGTAGCTGCTTGTTTCCAGTTAAGGATCTCTGTGGCAGGGGGATACATCCGCACTGGATGCTCTGAAGTGTATGATGTGAAATGATTTATCCAGAAGGCTGCACAGCTGGCATCAGATAAAACATTTGGAACCACTTTAGCTGTGCATTACCTAGAGGCAGCATTCTCTTCCTCGATGCTGAATTTAAACCATTCCTGTCATTTCAGACTCTCTAATGAAATCTGTTTCTCACAGGATGTCTCTGTCTTGGAAATGGCATGTGGTCTCCTTGCAAAATGAAAAGGAATTTAAAGCATATAAATCACCTGTTTTTCTTCCTCTCTCACCCTACACACACACACACACACACACACACATACACACAGACACACACACACACACACCCTTTCTGTTAAAAAAATTTCAGAACAGAAGAAGAAAAGCATGGAAGTGATAAAGGTATGCTTCTCAGAACAGGGAATGGTGAGGGAGGAGTGGCTACTGCCTGTCAATAGCTCACAAGCAGCAATGCTGACTGCCAAATGACTCATGCAAAAGTCCCAGAGGGATCGGTTCCCTCAGTCGCCCTTTAGGAGAGAGAGACAGAAAACGTGATATAAATGTTCCCACAGAATCACGGCTTTGTCAGATCCAAGGCTTATGCTGCTGCTCACTATGCTGGAGTGTAAATAAGTTGATGTGCCCTATCGTAGCTAAAAACCTAACAGAAAACATTCAAAACACTCACATACATACTTGTACACAATTCAAGCTCCAATGCGAAAGTATAAATAGTCTGAGTCTCTCCTGTTCTATGCTTGAATATTAAAGTAAGTTTTAAAGCCTTCCAATATTACTTGATGCAATTTAAAAGCTAAATCTATATTGTGATATTACTATCTTTATCTCAACTATAATTCCAAAACCACTTCAAGAAACTAAAAATCAAGTTTAAGCAGAACCCAGGAAGGGCTGCAGTTTGAAGTCTAAACACAAATGCTCTTTACTATTGGTAAATAGGGGCCTTACTTCCATTGATTATAAGCCACAGTTACAAGAACACCACATCTTTAACTTTTCCCATATACCTTGGTTTTCCATGGTGATGATGCTACTGCTTACCATAGTTCTTCACCTCGCCTGGAATTAGCCAAAGAATTGGATGCTATTTTCAAGGGTGCTAGAAAAGACACCTAGGGCTCGGCCCAATTTGTAACAGTACAACAAATGGTTAGTGAGCCTTGTTTGTCTGAGTACCCTCCTTCCTCCACACAATGTGGCTCAGAAACAGCAGCTAAGTAGAGGCTTCTGTGCCCCTCTCTTAAGGTGAACAGACAGGGAGGACACCAGGAGCCCTTATCAATGATGGTTCAGTGAGAAATGGGAAGAGTTTTGTTGTTTTTTGTTTAAAGAAGCAGACCCTCTGAATACTTTCCTAGAGAGCCCAAACCATTCAGGTTGCTTGATCTCTTGAGTTGCCAGGGTTTTCTATCCAGGCCTTTGGCCAAAACTGCTGTGGTCACCATGCATTGTGAGATTACAGTGCTCAAATAGTTAATGTGGCTGAAAGCTTCCACTGGACATTTTATGGGAGGTGACACAAAGCCACTGGGGAAGAAACTGGTTCTTCATAGGAAGTCCTAAAGCCCTACACCATAAATCACTTCAGGTGTCAAAACATCTTCTTAAGCCACATCATCAATGTTTCTGGCTTTCATTAACACAAGCAAAACCACCTGCAGTCCTCACTACCAAAACTAAGAGCTTTAGTCTTCCTGAGGTTCTACCATGTTTCTTATCCATATTAATTATTGCAGAAACACCTAAACCCTTCACTCATTGCTTAGTGTCAGGCTTGCCATCTAAAGTATGTTTTCAGAAATGTCAAGCAGTTTTTGGCCACCGAGTGTATGTCAGTGTATTCTGGCGGATACAAATTATTGTTTTGCGTTACTTACCATATTATCTTGCAATAAAAGACCTGCAAACTCATCACAAGATCAACTGCAAAGTCATCTACAGAATGTAACCATATCTATAATGACAAAGAAAACATTGTTATATTACCAAGTCAAAATATCCTACACTGGCGCTATCCTACACATTGTACGGCCAATTATAAATATCTTTCTGGTGGTTTTAGCCCAAGTAAAAGTTACCCCAGTGAAGGTGTGTTAATGAAGTCCACTCCACTCCCTGCCTGGTTACTAAAACCTTTACTCAATGCTCAGAACAAAGTCTGATTAATTCTTCACTGACTTTCAGAATACAAACAGTATCCGTATTTTCTCTTCCATTAAAACAAGCAGTGATTAGCAGACCCTGGCAATACATACTCAGTCATTCAAATCTCTTTAGAAGGTACTGAAAGATACTTTGTAGGCAAGAGTCATGAAACCAAGATTTCAGGGTCAAGTACAAAACAGGCACAACTCTTAAGTATATTCCTTTTCTAATAAAAAGTATTTTCAGATCTCTTATATTAAAATAGAAAATAGTTTTGGTTGTTCTGACAGCAGTTTATCATACTGGCTCCGTCCTGAGCTTTCTAGTGCTAGGGTCTGGCCATGTCTGTGCTTTCCGCAAGGAGTCACAGTAACTTAATATTCTTCTACAATGTTTGAAGGGGACCGTTAGCTATATATGGCCTGGGCCCAGATCTGTGTCTTCCTTTCCTAGGCTTATTTTCAAATAGAAAATAAAAATAAGTCCCACTTATGTCAAAGAGTTTCAAAGAGCTTTGTATTTAAAAAAAAAAACACAACTAATTTTGATGGCAACTCACTGAAATAAGGAAAAGGTGTTAACAAGATTCTTATTGGAAGATTGCAATACTAGGCAGGGAAGGCCATGGTATGCTGACAAGCATATTGCAGTACAGTTGAACAATAATTTGATAAATATCATAAGTCAAAAATGTATTTAATACACCTAACCTACTGAACACCCTAACTTAACCTAGCATACCTTAAAGGTGTTCAGAAATTACATTAGCCTACAGTTGGACAAAATCATCTGGTACAGAGTACACTGTAGAGTACTGGTTAGTTACCCTCGTGATATTATGGCTGCCTCGGAGCTGCAACTCACTGATACTGCCCAGCATCACAAGAAAGAAGATCATGAAGCATACTGCTAGCCCCAGAAAAGATCAAAATTCAAAATTTTGACTACAGTTTCGATTGAATGTGTATCACTTTTATATCATCACAAAGCCAATAAATTGTAAGTCGACTGACATACAGTCATAAGTCTGGGACAATCTGTATAGTACTTTGTAGTTTTGTTTTTATTTTTTTGAGACAGGATCTCTGTCATCCAGGTTGGAGTCCAGTGAAACAATCATGGCTCACTAAAGCCTTAACCTCCCCAGGCTCAGGTGATCCTCCCGCCTCAGCCTCCTGAGCAGCTGGGACATAGTCATCTCTAAATTGAAAACGTGCAAAAGATGCAATGGTAAAAAATAAAAATTAAAAAATTCTAAAAAAACACGTAAAACTTAGGATTCCTTGGGGAAAGGGAAGTGCCTATTTTCTCATCGTGCTTTGACCCTTGCTTGATTTCCACTGCAGGCATTCGCCAGCCCTTTACCATGACATCTTCTGTGGGCTCAGGTCTGTCCCAATTTCAGAGATCTTCAAGAGTCTGTATATTTCATCTGCCTCTGAAGCCCACAATGTAGAATTTGGTAAGAAGTCCCACTGACCAACACAGGATCCACTAGTTCAGATTATCCCTGCTCAGGTTAGTTGCTGCAAAAACTCCTTGGCTCTGCCTAATCCCCATGTTGCCCATTCCTTTCTGCAATTTGGTCTTGTTTACAGGATTGGGTCTCTGCCTAGGTTCCCCTTTAATTCTTGCCAGTTAGTTGCCCTATTTAGTACACTCTTTACCCTCAAAGACAGGTGCTAAATCCTGAGCCTGAGTTAATGGAGAAAGAGCCCCTAATGGTTTTTGCCAACAAATATCTAGAGCTATCTAGGACTTCTGTCCCTGTACTCTCAACCAAATAAAGGTGTATCATTTGGGATCATGATTTGAGTTTCCTGGCTCCAGAGGCCCAAGTTCTAAGTCTCCCTACTACTATTTATTCACTTAGCTGGAGGTGTGTGCAACTTGTCTCTGAGGTGGTAGCAATAATCTCTCCCATCTCACATGCACATTTTTAAAAAACTTTTTATTTTGAAATAACTATAGTCTCACAGAAGGTTGTAAGAGTCCCTTGTAGTCTTGAATCAACTTCCCTAACTGTTAATATAAAAAATATAGCTATAGGGCCGGGCGTGGTAGCTCACCCCTGTAATCCCAGCATTTTGGGAGGCCAAGGTGGGCGGGTCACCAGGTCAGGAGATCAAGATCATCCTGGCTAATACGGTGAAACCCCGTCTCTACTAAAAATACAAAAAAAAATTAGCCAGGCATGGTGGCGGGCGCCTGTAGTTCCAGCCACTCGGGAGGCTGAGGCAGGAGAATGGCGTGAACCCCGGAGGCAGAGCTTGCAGTGAACCGAAATCACACCACTGCACTCCAGCCTGGGTGACAAAGCGAGACTCCGTCTCAAAAAAAAAAAAATATATATATATATAGCTTTAGTACAATATCACAATTACAGTACAATATATAATGAGACTATTATGAACAATTAGATGCCAATAAACTGGAAAATCTAGGAGAAATGAATAACTTCCTGGACACATACAACTCTCCAAGATTGAATCTAGAAGAAATAAAAATCCTGAATAAACCAATAAGTAATGAGAGTAAAGCAACAATTAAAAAAAAAATCTTCCATCAAAGAAAAGCTCAGGAACTGATGACTTCACTGATGAATCCTACCAAATATTTAAAGAACTAATATCAATTCTACTCAAACTCTTCAAACCAATTGAAGAGGAGGGAATACTTCCAAACCCATTATATTAGGCCAGCATTACCCTGATACCAAAATCAGGCAAGGACACAACAAAAAAAACTACAGGCCAATATTCCTGATGAAGATAGTTGCAAAAGTCCTCAACAAAATATCAGCAAACCAAATTCACCAACATATTAAAAAGATCATTTATCATGATTAAGTGGGATTTATCCTAAGGATGCAAGGATGGCTCAACATATGCAAATAAATCAATGTTATACATTGGATTAATAGAACTAATAACGAAAAGCATATGACCATTTCAACAGATGCTGAAAAAACATTCAATAAAGTTCAATGTTCCTTTATGATAAACAACCTCCCACTCTCCCCACCAAAAAAAAAATGGATATAAAAGGAACACATGTCCAGAAAATAAAGACCTATATGACAAGCCCACAGCTAACATCATACTTAACAGGAAAAAATCCAAATACTTTCCTCTAACATATGAAATAAGACAAGGATGCCCACTTTCACCAGTTTTATTCAATATAATACTGGAAGCTGTAGTCACATCAATCACGCAAGAGAAAAAGGAAAAGGCATCCAAATTGAAAACAAAGAAGTCAAATTATCTTTGTTCACAGAAGCCATAACCTTGTATTTAGAAAACCCTAAAGACTCTACCAAAAAAACTGTTAGAACTAAAAAACAAACTCAGTAAAGTTACAGGATTTAAAAAATGTACAAAAAATCAGTAGCATTTACATACAGTAGGAGTGAGCAATCTAAAAAAAATATCAAGAAAGCAATGCCATTTAAAATCTCTAGAAAAAATATAAAATACCTAAAAATAAATGTAACGAAAAAAGGGAAAGATCTCTACAAGGAAAAGTAAAACCTCTGGTAAAAGAAATTGAAGAGGACAGAAAAAAAAATAAAAAGATATTCCATGAACATGAATTGGAAGAATTAATACTATTAAAATGTCAGTACTACCCAAATCAATGTACAGATTCAATGCAATCCCTATCAAAATGCCAATGACATTTTTCACAGAAATAAAAAAAAATCTTAAAACAAGTACCAAGCAATAAAAGACCCTGAATAGCCAAAGCAATTCTGAGCAAAGAGAACAAAGCTGGAGGCATCACAATACCTGACTTCAAAATATACTATAAAGCTATTAGCAGTAACCACAATAGCATGGTAGTTATATAAAAACTGACACATAAACCAAAGGAACTGAATAGAGAGCCTGTAAATAAATCCCTCCATTTATAGCTGACTCATTTTTGACAAAGTTTCCAAGAATATACAGTAGGGAAAGTACAATCTCTCCCATAAATGGTGTTGGGAAAATTGGATAACCATATGCAGAAGAATGATTGGATAACCATATGCAGAAGATAGATCCCTATCTCTCATAATATACAAATGTCAAATTAAAATGGATTAAAATCTAAGATCTGAAGATAGCTGTTCCAAGATGGCTGAATAGGAACAGCTCCAGTGTGCAGCTCCCAGTGTGACCGACGCAGAAGATGGGTGATTTCTGCATTTCCAACTAAGGTACCTGGTTCATCTCACTGAGACTGGTTGGACAGTGGGTGCAGCCCACAGAGGGCGAGCTGAAGCAGGGCGGGATGTTGCCTCACATGGGAAGTGCAAGGGGTTGGGGCATTTCCCTTTCCTAGCTAAGGGAAGCCATGACAGACTGTACCTGGAAAAACGGGACACTCCTGCTCAAATACTGTGCTTTTCTCAAGGTCTTAGCAACTGACAGACAAGGAGATTCTCTCCCATGCCTAGCTTGGCAGGTCCCATGCCCACGGAGCCTTGCTCACTGCTAGCGCAGCAGTCTGAGATCAAACTGCGAGACGGCAGCCTGGCTGGGGGAGGGACGTCCGCCATTGCTGAGGCTTGAGTCGGTAAACAAAGCAGTCAGGAAGCTTGAACTAGGCGGAGCCCACTGCAGCTCAACAAGGCCTACTGCCTCTATAGACTCCACCTCTGTGGGCAGGGCATAGCTGAATAAAAGGCAGCAGACAACTTCTGCAGACTTAAACGTCCCTGTCTGACAGCTCTGAAGAGAGCAGTAGTTCTCCCAGCATGGTGTTTGAGCTCTGAGAATGGACAGACTGCCTCCTCAAGTGGGTCCCTGACCCCCCTGTAGCCTAACTGGGAGACACCTCCCAGTAGGGGCTGAAATACACCTCATATAGGTGGGTGCCCCTCTGGTATGAAGCTTCCAGAGGAAGGATGAGGCAGCAATATTTGCTGTTCTACAATATTTGCTGTTCTGCAGCCTCTGCTGGTGATACCCAGGCAAACAGGGTCTGGAGTGGACCTCAAGCAAACTCCAACAGACCTGCAGCTGAGGGACCTGACTGTTAGAAGGAAAACTAACAAACAGAAAGCAATAGCATCAACATCAACAAAAACGTCATCTACACCAAAACCCCATCTGTAAGTCACCAACATCAAAGACCAAAGGTAGATAAAACCACAAAGATGGGGAGAAACCAGAGCAGAAAAGCTGAAAATTCTAAAAACCAGAGTGCTTCTTCTCCTCCAAAGGATTGCAGCTCCTTGCCAGCAACAGAACAAAGCTGGACAGAGAATGACTTTGATGAGTTGACAGAAGTAGGCTTCAGAAGGTTGGTAAAGGCCGGGCGCGGTGGCTCACGCCTGTAATCCCAGCACTTTGGGAGGCCGAGACGGGCGGATCATGAGGTCAGGAGATCGAGACCATCCTGGCTAACACGGTGAAACCCCGTCTCTACTAAAAATACAAAAATTAGCCGGGCATGGTGGCGCGCGCCTGTAGTCCCAGCTACACGGGAGGCTGAGGCAGGAGAATGGCGTGAACCCAGGAGGCGGAGCTTGCAGTGAGTCGAGATCGCGCCACTGCACTCCAGCCTGGGCTACAGAGCGAAACTCCGTTTCAAAAAAAAAAAAAAAAAAAAAAAGAAGGTTGGTAATAACAAACTTTTCCAAGCTAAAGGAGGATGTTCGAACCCATCATAAGGAAGCTAAAAATCTTGAAAAAAGGCTAGACGAATGGCCAACTAGAATAAACAGTGTAAAGAAGACCTTAAATGACCTGATGGAGCTGAAAACCATGGCACAAAAACTTCATGACACATGCACAAGCTTCAATAGCTGATTTGATCAAGTGGAAGAAAGGGTATCAGTGATTGAAGATCAAATGAATGCAATGAAGTGAGAAGACAAGGTTAGAGAAAAAAGAGTAAAAAGAAACAAACAAACCCTCCAAGAAATATGGGACTATGTGAAAAGACCAAATCTGCATTTGATTGGTGTACCTGAAAGTGACAGGGAGAAAGGAACCAAGTTGGAAAACACTCTTCAGGATATTACCCAGGAGAAAATCCCCAACCTAGCAAGACAAGCCAACATTCAAATTCAGGAAATACAGAGAACACCACAAAGATACTCCGCGAGAAGAAAAACCCCAAGACATATAATTGTCAGACTCAACAAGGTCAGAATGAAGGAAAAAATGTTAAGGGCAGCCAGAGAGAAAGGTCAAATTACTCACGAATGGGAAGGCCATCAGAATAACAGTGGGTCCCTTGGCAGAAACCCCACATGCCAGAAGAGAGTGGGGGCCAATATTCAACATTCTTGAAGAAAAGAATTTTCAACCCAGAATTTCATATCCAGCTAAACCAAGCTTCCTAAGTGAAGGAGAAATAAAATCCTTTACAGACAAGCAAATGCTGAGAGATTTTGTCGCCACCAGGCCTGCCCTACAAGAGCCCCTGAAGGAAGCACTAAACATGGAAAGGAACAACCAGTACCAGCCACTGCAAAAACATGCCAAATTGTAAAGATCATACATGCTATGAATAAACTGCATCAATTAATGGGCAACATAACCAGCTAACATCATAATAACATGATGAAATTCACACATAACAATATTAACCTTAAATGTAAATGGGCTAAATGCTCCAATTAAAAGACACAGACTGGCAAATTGGATAAAGAGTCAAGACCCATCAGTGTGCTGTATTCAGGAGACCCATCTCACGTGCAGAGACACACATAGGCTCAAAATAAGGGGATACGGAAAGATCTACCAAGCAAATGGAACGCAAAAAAAAAAAGCCGGGGTTGCAATCCTAGCCTCGGATAAAACAGACTTTAAACCAACAAAGATCAAAAGAGACAAAGAAGGCCATTACATAATGGTAAAGGGATCAATTCAACAAGAAGAGCTAACTATCCTAAATATATATGCACCCAATACAGGAGCACCGAGATTCATAAAGCAAGTCCTTGGAGACCTACAAAGAGACTTAGACTCCCACACAATAATAATGGGAGACTTTTAACCCCATTGTCAATATTAGATCAACAAGACAGAAGCTTAACAAGGATATCCAGGACTTGAACTCAGCTCTACACCAAGGGGACCTAATACATATCTACAGAACTCTCCACCCCAAATTAACAGAATATACATTCTTCTCAGCAACACATGACACTTATTCTAAAATTGACCACATAATTGGAGGTAAAGCACTCCTCAGCAAATGTAAAAGAACAGAAATCACAACAAACTGTCTCTCAGACCACAGTGCAGTCAAATTAGAACTCAGGATTAAGAATCTCACTCAAAACTGCACAACTACATGGAAACTGAACAACCTACTCCTGAATGACTACTGGGTAACTAAGGAAATTGAGGCAGCAAAAAAAGATGTTCTTTGAAACCAATGAGAACAAAGACACAACATACCAGAATCTCTGGGACACATTTAAAGCAGTGTGTAGAGGGAAATTTATATCACTAAATGCCCGCAAGAGAAAGAAGGAAAGATCCAAAACTGACACCCTAACATCACAATTAAAAGAACTAGAGAAGCAAGAGCAAACACATTCAAAAGCTAACAGAAGACAAGAAATAACTAAGATCAGAGCAGAACTGAAGGAGATAGGGACATAAAACACCCTTCAAAAAAATCAGTGAATCCAGGAACTGGTTTTTTGAAAAGATCAACAAAATTGATAGGCCGTTAGCAAGACTAATCAAGAAAAAAAGATAGAAGAATCAAATAGATGCAATAAAAAATGAAAAAGGGGATAGTACCACTGATCCCACAGAAATACAAACTACCATCAGAGAATACTGTAAACACATCTACACAAATAAACTAGAAAATCTAGAAGAAATGGATAAATTCCTCGGCGCAAACACCCTCACAAGACTAAACCAGGAAGAAGGTGAATCTCTGAATAGACCAATAACAGGCTCTGAAATTGAGGCAATAATTAATAGCCTACCAACCAAAAAAAGTCCAGGACCAGAGGGATTCACAGCCGAATTCTACCAGAGATACAAAGAGGAGCTGGTACCATTCCTTCTGAAACTATCCCAATCAACAGAAAAAGAGGGAATACTCCCTAAATCATTTTATGAGGCCAGCATCATCCTGATACCAAAGCCTGGAGGAGACACAACAAAAAAAGAGAATTTTAGACCAATATCCCTGATGAACATCGATGTGAAAATCCTCAATAAAATACTGGCAAACTGAATCCAGCAGCACATCAAAAAGCTTATCCACCATGATCAAGTCAGCTTCATCCCTGGGATGCAAGGCTGGTTCAACATACACAGATCAATAAATGTAATCCATCACATAAACAGAACCAACAACAAAAACCACATGAGTATCTCTTGATGCAGAAAAGGCCTTTGACAAAATTCAACAGCTCTTCATCCCAAAAACTCTCAATAAACTAGGTATTGATGGAACGTATCTCAAAATAATAAGAGTTATTTATGTCAAACCCACAGCCAATATCATACTGAATGGGCAAAAACTGCAAGCATTCCCTTTGAAAACCGGCACAAGACAAGGATGCCTTCTCTCACCACTCCTATTCAACATAGTGTTGGAAATTCTGGCCAGGGCAATCAGGCAAGAGAAAGAAATAAAGGATATTCAATTAGGAGAAGAGGAAGTCAAATTGTCCCTGTTTGCAGATGACATGATTATATATTTAGAAAACCCCATCATCTCAGCCCAAAATCTCCTTAAGCTGATAAGCAACTTCAGCAAAGTCTCAGGATACAAAATCGAAGTGCAAAAATCACAAGCATTCTTAAACACCAATAACAGATAAACAGAGAGCCAAATCATGAGTGAACTCCCATTCACAATTGCTTCAAAGAGAATAAAATACCTAGGAATCCAACTTACAAGGGATGTGAAGGACCTCTTCAAGGAGAACTGCAAACCACTGCCCAACGAAATAAAAGAGGACACAAACAAATGGAAGAACATTCCATGTTCATGGATAGGAAGAAGCAATATTGTGAAAATGGCCATACTGCCCAAGGTAATTTATAGGTTCAATGCCATCCCCATCAAGCTACCAATGACTTTCTCCAAAGAATTGGAAAAAACTACTTTAAAGTTCATATGGAACCAAAAAAGGGCCCGCATTGCCTAGACAATCCTAAGCAAAAAGAACAAAGCTGGAGGCATCATGCTACATGACTTCAAACTATACTACAATGCTACAGTAACCAAAACAGCATGGTTCTGGTACCAAAACAGAGAGACAGACCAATGGAACAGAACAGAGGCCTCAGAAATAACACTACATATCTACAACCATCTGATCTTTTACAAATCTGACAAAAACAAGAAATGGGGAAAGGATTCCCTATTTAATAAGTGGTGCTGTGAAAAATGGCTAGCCACATGTAGAAAGCTGAAACTGGATCCCTTCCCTACGCCTTATACAAAAATTAATTCAAGATGGATTAAAGACTTAAATGTTAGACATAAACCATAAAATCCCTTGAAGAAAACCTAGGCAATACCATTCAGGACATAGGCATGGGCAAGGACTTCATGACTAAAACACCAAAAGCAATGGCAACAAAAGCCAAAACAGACAAATGGGATCTAATTAAAGAGCTTCTGCATGGCAAAAGAAACTATCATCAAAGTGAACAGGCAACCTAAAGAATGGGAGAAAATTTTAGCTATCTACCCATCTGACAAAGGGCTAATCCAGAATCTACAAAGAACTCAAACAAACTTACAAGAAAAAAAAACAACCCCATCAAAAAGTGGGCAAAGGAAATGAACAGATACTTCTCAAAGGAAGATATCCCTGCAGCCAACAGACACATGAAAAAATGCTCATGATCACTGGTCATCAGAGAAATGGAAATTAAAACCACAATGAGATACCATCTCACGCCAGTTAGAATAGTGATCATTAAAAAGTCAGGAAACAACAGATGCTGGAGAGGATGTGGAGAAATAGGAATGCTTTTACACTGTTGGTGGGACTGTAAATTAGTTCA
Organism: Homo sapiens; assembly: GCF_000001405.40. Taxonomy (NCBI): domain Eukaryota; kingdom Metazoa; phylum Chordata; class Mammalia; order Primates; family Hominidae; genus Homo; species Homo sapiens. Next base: position 16,413 of record NW_013171802.1, read on the forward strand.
TCCATTGTGGAAGACAGCATGGTGATTCCTCAAGGATCTAGAATGAGAAATACCATTTGACCTAGCAATCCCATTACTGGGTATATACCCAAAGGATTATAAGTCATGCTGCTATAAAGACACATGCACACGTATGTTTATTGCAGCACTATTCACAATAGCAAAGACTTGGAACCAACCCAAATGTCCATCAATGATAGACTGGATAAAGAAAATGTGGCACATATACACCATGGAACACTATGCAGCCATTAAAAAGGATGAGTTCATGTCCTTTGCAGGGACATGGATGAAGCTGGGAACCATCATTCTCAGGAAACTATCACAAGAAGAGAAAACCAAACACCACATGTTCTCACTCATAGGTGGGAATTGAACAATGAGAACACTTGGACACAGGGCAGGGAACATCACACACTGGGGCCTATCGGGAGGTGGGAGCCTGGGGGAGGGACAGCATTAGGAGAAATACCTAATGTAAATGACGAGGTGATGGGTGCAGCAAACTAACATGACACATGTATACCTATATATCAAACATGCATGTTGTGCACACGTACCCTAGAACTTAAAATATAATAACAAAAAGAAAATCTAAGACCTGAAGCCATAAAAATTTTAGAAGATAACCTCAGGAAAATTCTTCTAGACATTGGCTTAGGCAAAAAGTTTATGACCAAGAACCCATTCATAGGTGGGAACTAAAAAAGTTAATATGGAGGTAGAGAGTAGAATAATCACTACCACACACTGGCCAGGGTGTGTGTGTGGATGGGGAAAGATGAAAAGAGAGGTTGGTTAATGGTTACAAATGCAACAAAAACAAAAATAAATATATGGGATTTAATTAAACCTAAAAGCTTCTGCACAGCAAAAGAAATAATCAGCAAACAGACAATCCACAGAGTGGGAGAAAGTTTTCGCAACTGTTCATCCAGCAAAGGACTAATATCCAGAATCTGCAAGTAACTCAAACAAATCAGCAAGAAAAAAAAATAATCCCACCAAAAAGTGGGCTAAGGACATGAATAGACAATTATCAAAAGAAGATATAAAAATCACCAACATGAAAAAATGCTCAACATCGCTGATTATCAGGGAAATGCAAATCAAAACTACAATGTAATACAACTTTACTCCTACAAGAATGGCGATCATTTTTTTAAAAAATACTAGACATTGGTGCGGATGTCATGAAAAGGGAACACTTTTACCCTGCTGGTGGCAATGTAAACTAGTACAACCACTGTGGAAAACAATGTGGAGATTCCTTAAATAACTAAAAGTAGAACTACCATTTCATCCAGCAATCCCACTACTGGGTATCTACCCAGAGGAAAAGAAGTCATTTTATGAAAAAGACACTTGCACACACATTTATAGCAACACAATTCACAACTGCAAAAACATGAAACCAGCCCAAATGCCCATCAATCAAGTGGTTTAAAAATGTGATATATATATCACATTTTATATACAAAAAATATGTGATACATTTTATATATGATATATATGTGATTATATGTAGTTATATATATATATGTGTGTTATACACACACACCATGGAATAATACTCAGCCATATAAAAGAATGAAATAAGGGCATTCGCAGCAACCTGGATGGAGTTGGAGACCATTATTCTAAGTGAAGTAACTCAGGAATGTAAAACCAAACATCGTTCTTATAAGTGGGAGCTCATCTATGAGGACACAAAGGTGTAAGAATGATACAATGGACTTTGGGGACTCAGGGAGAAGGGTGGGAGGGGGCTGAGAGATAAAAGACTATACATTGGGTACAGTGTACACTGCTCCTATTCCCCAAAAACTATTGAAAAAAAAATCTGGAAATTAAAAAAAATTGAAATCCTATAATTTGCAGCAACATGGATGAAACTGGAGGTCATTATGATAAGTGACATAAGCTAAGCACAGAAAGACAAATATTGTACATTTTCATCCATAGGTGAGAACTAACAAAGTTAATATGGGTGTAGAGAGTAGAATAATAACTACCAGAGACTGGCCAGGGTGTGTGTGTGGATGGGGAAAGATGAAGAGAGAGGTCGGTTAATGGTTACAAATATACAGTTAAATAGATAAGCTAAGACCTAGTGTTCGATAAATCAGTAGAGTGACTATCGTAAACAATAATCTATTGTATATTTCCAAACAGCTGGTAGAGAATAATGCAAATGTTCCCAGCATAAAGAAAAATTTTTAAGGTGATGAATATTCCAATTATATTGGCTTGATTATAACACATTATACGAATATAGCAAAATATCACATATACCCCCCAAAAGTATTTCTATTATATATCACAAAAATACGAATCAGAAACCAAAGTAAAATTTATATTTTAATATAAAATGGATCAAGTTTTTCTGTTACATCACAGTTTTCTTTGGTGACATACTGCTCAGCTTGTCTAGGCTTGTTACATACATTGTGTCAAGGAATTAATTATATTGGCTGCACTTGTGATCTCTGCTTCAGCAATTAATGCTGTTTTGATAAGTAAGCATCTTTTAGTGTTTATTATAAGCTATGTTCTAGCAATCTCTAATGAATTAGCAATCTGTAATACTCTCATTAGGTAGAAATTATTATTCCTAATGTACAGATAAGAACCTGGGACTCGAAAAGGTAAAATGACTTTCTAGTTTGTCTAATTGCAGAGTTTTTATATCTAATGCTGATGCCTCTGTGATCCAGAATAATTGCCATAGAATTTCAGTCCCTAAATAAATTCCTTGACAAAAGCCTTCATTGGTTAAGTGAATTTAGTGTACATTTTAAAATAAAGTATGTTGTAGAAGTCCCTTCTTGACAGTTTTCAATGCATATTAGCATACTAAAGCCTCCAAGAAGTACTGCTAAAAGAAGTAATTGTTTAACCCAGCATTTCCCAAATTAATTTAGCCATAAGGCTTTTTAGAAAAACACAATCAGCACTCCTTATAGCCAGCATTCCATAATTCCATAGAATATGTTTTAGGGAACTCTGTTCTGAACTTACATTCTGCCCTGTTTTAAAATACCTGATATTTCTATAAACCATATAATCCTGTAAGAAAGGCACCAAAGTGCTACTATGTCACAAGAACTCAATGAACAGTTCATTTATATGGCATTATAGCATCTTACCGATAGAGGTAATAATCCCTATGGCAAAAGTAGTAAAGTGTGAGTGTGTGTGTGTGTGTGTGTGTGTGTGTGTGTGTGTTCCTTTGGTTTCTGAAGATAACCCTAGAGAAGTAGAAAGTTTACACCAAGTCTGAAGGCAAGTGCTGTTAAAAAAAACAAACATCCCTTAATGAGCTTGATTTTCACCTTGAATAGTGTACTACTGTGAAAAGTTTAAGAAAACAAGGTCATTGGTTGGGGGGTGTCTATTTAACTAGTACAAAATAGGATTTAACATATACCAAAGAATTTACTTTCTTTAAATCTCAGTCGCTGGTTTTAATTTTAGTACCTATTGCCTGTGTCTGTACATGGCTCATGTAACATACTACATTATTTCCTACCACTCTTAGCTCAAATGTCAGTTTCTAGACAGACCCTACACTTTCTATTCCCTGTCCTTGAACTCTACCCTCTGTCAACTAGATATTTAAACAAACGCTTGGTAATGAGTGTGATGATGATGATGATGATGATGACAATGATGGTTTTAGATGCAAAGTTATGGACATACACCTAACATAATATCATACTAAGTGCCTTTTTTTTCTAAATGTCTTTGTATTAGTCCCCTTTCATACTGCCATAAAAAACTTCCCAAGCCTGGGTAATTTATAAAGGAAAGAGGTTTCATTGACTCACAGTTCAGCATGGCTGGGGAGGCCTCAGGAGACTTACAATCATGGCGGAAGCCAAAGGGGAAACAACGCACCTTCTTCACAAGGTGGCAAAAAGGAGAAGTGCCGAGCGAAGCGGGAAGAGCCCCCTGTAAAACCATCATATCTCGTAAGAACGAACTCACTATCACGAGAACAGCATGGGGGAAACCGCCTCCATAATCCAATTACCTCCACCTGGTCTTTCCCTTGACACGTGGGGATTATGGGGTTTATAATTCAAGATGAGATCTGGGTGAAGACACAAAGCCTCATCATATCACTTTTTCATTTTTAATACAATTGCAAAATGAGTCAAATACACTGTTCTATTTTATAGTCACAGCATAGAGTAATGAGCAAACCTAGGCTGGTCACTGCTATGTTATTCTTATAAGGAAAAGGAAAATTCAGCTTTCCATTCCAGCTTGCTGGTATTTCCATTTCACTAGGCTATAAATAAAACGAACACTAGAGTTAAAAAACTTGAATGTTTTTCTCTTTCTAGTGATAAGTGTAATTAGTAATTTGTTTTAAAGATATTTTTAAACCCTTTAAATGATTTAATTGAGGTCAGTAACCTATGTAACAAACAGCACGTTAGAGACACAACAATGGCTAAAACTCCTCATTTTCTCTAAAAATTAATTAAAATTATTTTCTCTAAATATAAGAAATGCCAAACTGAGCTAAAATAAATAAGACAATACTTATTTTTAATAGAACCATCTATAATTTCTACCTATAGAATACTTTTAAAGGTTCTAAACTAAGGCTTTTAACAGTGTCAGGCACAAATTGTTACCAATCAAATGAACTAAATTAATATGCTTTTATTTGCTATTTTATTACTAATTTTTTACAGTGGGTGAATACTACTTTTTCTGTGTCCTAAACTACTTAAAGTACATAAAATATACTTTTATAATATACTAGAACTTACTGTTTCCCAGACTTAAGACTGAGTCATTAGAGTAAGCTACACACTAGAGTGGAACAAAATTTAGCTTAATCTGAATTTCATGATTTGGTTTAAAATAAACCAAATTTTACTTTGCCTTCTAACTTTGTAACATTTTAAAGCTTATTCAGGTCACGATGCAATGAAAATAAAAAACAATTGACAAATGTACTTTGTGTTAATTCTGTTTAAACACTTGTCCACCTAGAAACTTTAGAGGTTTTCATACAGAATACAAAAATGCTATTACCTTTCCAGTCTTAAGCTAATAATTGTAATACAATTCACAATTTAAATTCTAAACTAACATGCCATCTGTTGCTATGAATCTAAAAATGTTGCCATATTTGGAAACTTTTATTATATTAAAGCATGAAAATTTGGATTTCTGAACAACCAGTAACTTGTAAAAAAGCTCTAATTTCTACTTTCAGAATACGTTTAGGATTCATATGTTCTTGTGATTCCAAAGAATTTGAAGTCCAGTGGAGCACAAAATTAAAACCAATTTTAAAAGTATTTAACTTTAATAGAAATTGGCACAAGCATTCATAAATCTTAACTAATTTTGTTATCCTCCTTTAAATCAATTTCTTTACATGGTAGTCCAGTTAGTAAGTTGCTAAGTTACTAGTTGTTAACTTGCCAGTTAATAAGTCCAGCTGCTAAGACAACTCAGCAATTAATGTGTATTAGAATTGGATTTCTTCAAATGTGCTCTAACTATATGGCCTACATTGGTCATTTATCAGAATATACAACTTACATGCCTCTTCGCATTAACACATCATAATGGATTCAAAGGTTTACCTTTAATAAGTTTAATTTAAAACTTAAATAAGTTTTAAATATGAAACAAGTTTAAATGCTATAAAACAAGAGTTAATATATGTAAATAACCTAAAGGCTTACTTTATATTCCATCGCAGACTTTGTCTTAAAATATCTGGTAGTTATAAGATAGGGTGAAAATAGATGCATTTTCAAAAACTGGGGCTTATTTCATGAAGGAAATTTGGCTTAATAATTAGAGCTTTCAGCCGAGCGCGGTCGCTCACGGCTGTAATCCCAGCACTTTGGGAGGCCGAGGCGGGCGGATCACGAGGTCAGGAGATCGAGACCATCCTGGCTAACACGGTGAAACCCCGTCTCTACTAAAAATACAAAGAAAAATTAGCCAGGCCTGGTGGCGGGCGCCTGTAGTCCCAGCTACTCAGGAGGCTGAGGCAGGAGAATGGCGTGAACCCGGGAGGCGAAGCTTGCAGTGAGCCGAGATCGCGCCACTGCACTCCAGCCTGGGCGACAGAGCGAGACTCTGTCTAAAAAAAAAAAAAGAAAATAATAATAATAATAATAATAATAATAATAATAATAATAATTAGAGCTTGCATGTTAACTAAGTTCAAGGTAATTGCTTTATAGTCTCAAATTTTAAAATATTAAAAACATAAAGTTAACATTTATATGAGTAAGAATTATGTCTGGTTCTCTTTTCTATAAAGCCATCTATCTACTTACATTTTAGAGCTTATACTTTAAATTTTTTTAATTATAAAAGTGATATATATGCAGAGCTTGAAAAAGTCAAACCTTGTTTTAAAAGATTTAAACCAGCTGGGCGCGGTATTATTATAACTTCTGTGAAGAAAACAAAAGTTTTTCCAGCTACGTGGTCTGTTAGAAAATAAAAATTAAACGGCTCAGACTAAGAAGATGTGGAAGAAATTATAGGACCAGACTCATTTTCAGATACTCAAAACAAACGATCAGTTGCCAAGTAATCAAGTACCTTTTTTACATTCTCTTACCTCACCCATTCTTTATACATTTAATTATGTGTGTATGTGCTTTTTAGATCCCATACCTATATAATTATCTTTAATTTTTAGTTTAATTTGCATAGGAAATGAAGAACTGGATACATTAAATTTTTTTTTGTTTTGAATATGAATTTATACTGCTGTGTTAACAAAGACTGCAGTCGTGACTGGGTGTGGTGGCTCATGCCTGTAATCCCAGCACTTTGGGAGGCCGAGGCGGGCAAATCACGAGGTCAGAAGATCGAGACCATCCTGGCTAACACGGTGAAACCTCGTCTCTACTAAAAAATTCAAAAAATTAGCTTGGCATGGTGGCGGGCGCCTGTAGTCCCAGCTACTTGGGAGGCTGAGGCAGGAGAATGGCATGAACCCGGGAGACAGAGCTTGCAGTGAGCCGATATAGCACCACTGCACTCCAGCCTGGGCAAAAGAGAGAAACTCCATCTCAAAAAAAAAAAAAAAGAAAAGAAAAAAGATTTAAACCAAAACAGTTGTCCCCTGACTTCAGCCCAGAGCCAATCAACTTGCACTCTTTTAATGGTTTCTTCTTTCTGTTTTGTTTTCTGCTACCTCTAGATAATTTAATATGTTGCTTTTTGTTTTTAACTCTTTGGATAAAATATTTAGCCAACTTTTGACAGCTCTGTAAAGCTTCTCTCAACACTTTTCCATCGTTAAACCTGTCAGATAACCCAATTGTCACTTTTCGAGTCACCTTCCTGGGGCCTGCCATTCTCCCCAGTTCACCAGAATGGTTTGCTCTCTGGGTCTGATAAACTTTCCCTTCACCATTAATCTGAGATTTCTACTTGTCTCTCCTTCTCTTCATTGTTGATTACCTATTTCCTCGATATCAGGTCTTCCTCTCAATCTATTTCTTCGTTTAGTGGAGTACATTCTCCAGCAGCCTCTAAGAAAGGGTATATGGTAGGTTTATTAGAGACTTTGTTTATTTGAAAATACCTTTATGCTATCTTTATACTGAATAGAGAGCTCTGTGGCCGGGAGCAGTGTCTGACGCCTGTAATCCTCAAACTTCGGGAGGCTGAGGTGCGTGGAGTTCGAGACCAGCCTGGCCAACATGGCGAAACCCTGTCTTTACTAAAAATATACAAAAAATTAGCCGGGTGTGGTGGTGGGCACCTGTAATTCCAGCTACTCGGGAGGCTGAGGCAAGAGAATTGCTTGAACCCAGGAGGCAGAGGTTGCAGTAAGCCGAGGTCGCGCCACTACACTCCATCCAGCCTGAAGACAGAGTGAGGCTCTGTCTCAAAAAAAGAAAGAAAGAAATCCTACTGCACATTAAATTGTGCCTCAAAGTCTCTACTAAAAAGGAGAAAGGTATATTATCTCCAAATCTTTCTTTCACCTTTTCATATGAAGGTGAAGGGATTGGAAATTCCCTTAATTTTTTCAGTCTTTTAAAAGGGTATTATGGATATGTGCTATTTCAAATGCCTTTTGTTTTAAAAGGAGTATATTTATCAGATTTTATCTTTTAGGGGCTGCAAATACATCCTAAGTTGAGCACCACAGCTAAAGTACATTGTAAGTATTTTGAAAAATACTTGCAGTATAAATTCATAATCAAAACAAAATTTTTAATGTATCCAGTTATTCATTTCCTATGCAAATTAAACTAAAAATTAAAGATAATTATACAGGTATGGGATCTAAAAAGCACATACACACATAATTAAATGTATAAAGAATGGATGAGGTGAAAGAATGTAAAAAAGGTACTTGATTACTTGGCAACTGATCGTTTGTTTTGAGTATCTGAAAATGAGTCTGGCCCTATAATTTCTTCCACATCTTCTTAGTCTGAGCCATTTAATTTTTATTTTCTAACAGACCATGTAGCTGGAAAAACTTTTGTTTTCTTCACAGAAGTTATAAATAATTAAAATTAGTGAACTCTAGGGCACCCAAAGACATCTCAAAATCTTTTTAAGCTGTACTAAATATTTGAGATTTTAATAGTAAGCAACTTACAAACATCTCCCTCTCATTATCAATTAATGAAAAGCCTCCCATTCCTAATAAACAAAATTTAAGGCTTTTAAGTTTGTATAGCAAATGTTTTCCACTCTCTTCCAGTTACCAACCCTTGCTATGCAATAGAAAATATTTCTAGACTATCGAGCCTGTGCATATCTTCCCTTCTCTTTCGCCTCAAAATACCTACTTTAGCACGTATCCGAATCACCTGGAGGGCTTGTTAAAACAGATTGCCGGGCACCCCTTCCTGTTTCCAATTCAGTAGAGGCAAAGCCCATGAATTTGTATTATCACATGTTCCCAGTGATGTTGATGTTGCTACTCTAGGAATCAATAAAATTATCCTCAATTTCTTTCCCTCAGTTTAAGAAAATTAAGTAGCACTTCTTTCCTTTCCAACAAGTTTAAATTTGTACTCTTGGTTTTATCTTCCTTCTCATTCTACCGTTATTTCTGTATTTCCAGCATCTCAGTCTCTTTCTATATGCATTGACTCCTCTCTGCCTTCTAGATGCACAGACCTCCTTTTTCAAAAATATATATAAAACAAATACACCGTCTATTTAAAAGTTACCATCTATGTCTCTCATAAATCTGTTCACTGCCAAATTTCTAGGTAAAATATCCTTGAACCAAAACCTCTACATTCGGCCAGGCGCGGTGGCTCACCCTGTAATCCCAGCGCTTTGGGAGGCTGAGGCAGGCGGATCACTTGAGGCCAGGAGTTCGAGACCAGCCTGGTCAACATGGTGAAACCCCGTCTCTACTGAAAAAAAAAAAAAAATACAAAAAATTAACCACGCGTGCTGGCACATGCTTGTAATCCCAGCTACTTGGGAGGCTGAGGCAGGAGAATCCTTGAACCCAGGAGGCAAAGGTTGCAGTGAGCTGAGATCGCACCACTGCACTCCAGCCTGGGCGACAAGAGCGAAACTCCGTCTCAAAAAACAAACAAAATCTCTACATTCTATTACTTCTCTCCATTACTTAGATCATCTTTCAGAGTCCAAGCAGGAAACAGACAGCACTTTCAACTTGGGAGAATTATTATTAAATTATTTATAAAAGTCTGGGTAGGATGTAGGAAAACCACAATGGATACTGCAGTTAGTTGGGCTAGATACAATGCAAGATCCTTTGCCATTCTTAGGCCTGAGGGTGTGGGAAAGCAACATCCCCAGAAGCTGGAGAGATTGTCATACGGAGAGAGCTGCCCGACAGGAGCTGTGACCTTCCCGATTGTGGCTCATAACAACATCATGAGAGAGGGCAGAAAAAAAAGCTTCATTCTCTTTCTCCTGCCAACACGCCAATATTCTGCTGGTGCTCCAAATGGTTATCAAGCCTGTGCATATCTTTCTCTTACGGCTCAAAATACCTACTTTAGTACACATCAGAATCACTTGGAGGGTGATAACTGGATGTCAGAGGGAAAATAAGCTGGTTGGTAAAGTCCTAGAGATTAATTTCACAAGATATAGTAGAGAACAAAGGATGGATCTGCAAATAAGCAATATCCCTTACCATATGGTCCATCTCTTTTGTTCCTCAGATTCTTATCCTTTATTTAGGTAGACACATTTATGTCCTCAACACAGGAAACATACAATCATACAAAGTCCTACAAGCTACTATTTCATAAGATTGATGTCAATTTAGTCATATTCTTCTCCTGTACACATGGAACATTCTCCAAGACAGCACATATACTAGACTATAAAAGATATTTCAACAAACTTAAAAGGACTGAAACAATACAAAATAAGTTCTCCAAATTTAACAAAATTAAATTAGCAATCAATAACAAACACATATTTGGTAAGAATTCCCAAATACTTGAAAATTAAACAATATACTTTTAAGTAATCCATAGTTCAAAGAAGAAATCAAGATGAAATTTAAAAATATTTTGAACTGAATGAAAATAAAAACATGACATATACAAATTTATGAGATGCAGCTAAAGCAGTGCTTAGAGGGAAATCTATAGGTCTACATGCCTGTATTTGAGAAAAAGAGAACTCTCTAAGCCTGAATGTATAGAAAAGAACAGCAAATTAAAGCTAAAGGAAGCAGAAAATAATAATAAAGAGAACAGAACCAAAGAAAAAGAAAAGAGAGCAGAGAAAAATCAATGAACCCCAAGCTGGTTCTTTGACTTCAATAACTTCTTTGACAACTTCAATGTTGACTGATATGGTTAAAGAAAAAAAAGAGAGAGAGAGAAAATAAAGATTACCAAAATTACAAAAGTAGGGAGGAACTTGACCACCAAACCTTATGAAATTAAAAGGACTGTAAGGCACTACTATGAACAAACTAGACAACTAAGATGAACCAGATAAATTCCTAGAAAGAACAAATTATTGAAACTGAATAAAGAACATATAGAAAATCTCAACAGGCCTGTAATATGTAAAGAAATAGAAAAAATAATAATAATTTAAAATCTTCCCACAAAGAAAATCCCACACCTGGATGATTCCACTAGTTAATTCTATCAAATATTTAAATAAGAAATAATACCAATCATTTATGAACACTTCCATAAAAGTGAATCCTTCCCAATTCACTCTATAAGGCTGCTATTACAGTGATACCAGAGTAAAAGATAGGAAAAAAAAAGGAAAAGAAAAAGAAAACCACAGACCGATATCTCTCATGAATACAGATGCAAAAGTCTTCATTGAAATGTTAGCAAATCAAATCCAGGACCTCTTTCTGAAGTGCTGTCATGGTCCACTTCTTGACTTACTGGTAAATTACTTAGCTAAATATTTTTGTCTTGTGCACTTACCTCTTTATGTTATGGTTCAAGATTTTAAAAGATTTAAACATACACATATACAAGAAAGAAAAGAATGCCTAGTCTATGTTCTCAAAGTACAAGTAATTTAGTAAAAGACTAGATTAATAGAAAAACAAAAGTAATGGCAGAATATGACAAGTACCCTGAAAGGTATAGGGTTACAAGGAAATGAGAACATAGCTGATCCATGTATGCTACTGTTTTTATGTTACTTTATGTTTGAGGGTGTATGGAGGGAAACCAGAAAAACTATAAAGGAAAGAGAATTTTGATTGCCTTAATTATGGATAGGTAGAATTTTATCTGAAGAAAAAGAAAAATTTAGGTAGAGATCAGCATGAGCAAAGCTTGAACCATATTTGGGAGAAACATCAGGTCAAGTTTGGCTCCACCACTATATGTACAATTTTTTTTTGAGATGGGGTCTCACTCTGTCACCCAGGCTGGAGCACAGTGGCATGATGTTGGTTCACTGCAACCTCCGCCTCCCTGACTCAGGTGATCCTCCTACCTCAGCCTCCTAAGTAGCTGGGATTACAGGCGCCCACTACCACATTTGGCTAATTTTTGTATTTTTAGTAAAGACGGGGTTTCACCATGTTGGTCAGCCTGGTCTTGAACTCCTGGCCTCAAGTGATCCACCAGCATCGCCCTCCCAGAGTACTGGAATTATAGCATGAGCACCACGCCCGGCCAGCTTTCTTCAATTTATAAAATGAAGAGAATATACATTAAAATTAATCAATAAGGCTTCAGATCTAAAATTTTATGAAAGAGCTATTTACACCTTATCATGAACAAATATATACACCCTGGCCTCCAAAACAGTTAAAGGGAATCAACCCAGACATAACTAGCAATGCTTTCTCAAATGACTGGATATTGCTCCTATATAAAGCTAGGTTTTCTTAAATTTATTTTAAAAACCATCTCTTTAGGACTTGAAGAAGAGTCCTGAATCCCAATATTTTGTCAACAAATTTGACTTTACCTGATTAGCAGTCTTCTTGATTTTGCAAGTTTTAAGCATATTCTGCCTCTGACATACCCTTATCCCAATGTCCTACCCAACCATCGCTTTTTCAGGCTGAAGAGTTCTGCCAGGAGGCAAAGGTTGCAGTCAGCCAAGATCCTGCCACTGCACTCCAGTCTGAGTGATGGAGTGAGATTGTGCCTCAATTAAAAAAAAAAAAAAAGAGTTCTGTAATTGTTTTCATAAATCTTAAAGATCTCTCTATCCCACTGATATTTTAAATTTGTCATTTCCAGTATTTATTCAATTCTATCAGGTCTTTTTGAGGTTATGGAATTAGAGATGAATACTGTAGCAGAATAATGTTATTTTGTTAGGGGAGAAAGAAAACCCTTATCACTTTCCTGGGCTTTTTGACAGCAATGTGTCAGATAGCTATCTTCATGGAATTATTTATGAAGAAATACAGTTTATGACAGTGTTTCTCTTTAACTTTACTAGCAAAAGAACTCCTTTTTTCCCAATAAAATTATATATAATACCTCACTACATAAAACAGACCATAAAGTGCAACTGCTCTGGTTGTAGTTTGTAACTGCCTAAAGCCTCACAGATGCGGTTCAGCTCTTGCCCCTCTTTCACACCCCATCCAACAAAGACCCCCAAGAGTGCTTCCCAGGCAGCACGGAGGACAGCAAGAAAATCATCACTTTACAGCATCTGTAAATATTAAAGATGTCAACATATACAGAAGAATCAAAGCTTCAAATGAAATCAATTACTTCAAAAGGCTTCTTTACTGCAACATCAATAGAACATTTATAAAATTCATTTCTCAATTTACTCAAACACACATACAAAAATTCACAAGTTCATATTTAGAAAACTGCCTTTTTAAATCCGTCTTAGAATAAATACAGCATCAACTTAACCATATACTGGCCACTAGTGTAGCACATCAGAAAAAATAATTATTAACTCTTTCCATAATAAATGTCAATATAGTAAAAAATGTCAAGCACACATTAGTGAAATGGATCAAGATCATTTTTTATTGCACATCTGCTTACATGTCTGCTGCTTTTGGGCAGAGTTAAACCTGACATATTGAGTCAGTTTCCGTCATTTTACATCAACTAAATTATAGCAGTGAATTGCTTATGTGTCTCCCAGGCTTACCTTCCAGAAACTAGAACATTAACCTTTCCAATTTATCTAGGTACTGAAGCACAAATTTAACATTTGTTTTTGCAAAATTTAAACACTCAGAAACAAACCAAACAACATCCTATACAGAAAACAATTTTTATGTCTAGATATACAATTGAGGTTCAGAGAACTTCTGATTATACAGTATTGTAAAGGTAATGATAATCCAACCCTCTTCCAAACTATTTAATTCCTGTATATGTAATTAAGCATTTATTTTCAGAAATTTTAACACTTTCAGCAATTGATTCTCTCACAATTAGGCATTTTTAAGATCCTCCATCCCACCAAAAATAACCCACAATGACTCCAAATCTTGTTTTTCTTTTTTAAAACGCTATTCTCTTGGGACTAAACTGTTCAGAATAATCAGTATTCTTATTCCCTTTCCACTGTACTCTACTGCTCAATGCAAAATGGAGAATATGTGGTCCAAATAGAAATATGGCATTTGTGCAGGTCAAGCTTTGAAGAGACATGGACCACATGATTAGCCTGATTTTTAAAAAGCAACAAGAATGGTGACACAACTATTACACCAAACACAAAATTCTGGCCATTAATGAATCAGAAGTAATAACTGATGCTCCTACTTTAAATTCATCAATGCCATATTTAAGAAGTCAAGCAACAACACATACTTGGCAAAATCTTCTAAATTCTCAAGTTATCAAACAAAAAAGTTATTTTTAATACTTTACCCCCCTTATATCTTATGATTCAATCACTTATATTTTCCTTTGTTAGATTATTCAGAAGAAACAATTCTATTTAACCTTAATAAGTTTTTGTCTCACACATTTTATATAAAGTTACTAAAATCACAATTCTGAGAAATTTATTTTTAATCATACAAACATTATATGATTTAACTGCAGTAAAGAAATTATATCTTTTCTTAATCTATTTAGAATGATATTACAAAATCTCTAAGACTCTTTTCCACAGCTTTTCTTTATATGAACAAACTCATAATTATGTAAAATGCATCTCAACTCCACAGTGAACTAGCATCCATGCTTATTCCACATAGGTACTGCCAGTGGTCCCTGCGGTGTCCTTTCAACAATGACAAACTCTTCAGGGTTGCCAAATGCCTCATAGAAAACCAATAAATCTTGTATGGCATGCTCCTCAATCTGAAAGGAGGAAGGGAAAGAAGACTCTTTACTCTTTTAATTATAAACTAAGCAGGATGTATTTGCCTTCCAATTTCCTTTTGAGGAACTATCACTTTCCATGGATACAATACAGTGAAATTAAATCAGGTATCCTGCATTTTAAATCAGGTATCCTGCTATCTCTGTGGCAAGGAGAAAGCTTGAGGTGTGAGGTAGAATCATGAGATACCCATGCGCTCTTCAATTTGAATCTTGAGCAGAAGGAAAAAGAAACTGAAAATGGTTGCTAAAATTCATTCATTCCAATAGCTTTATTCTGTGAGATACTTTCTGTTGTTGTACAAGTCTTCTAAATCTTGCTTCTGAGCTTTCCAGTGCTACTATGCGTCTTTTCTGTTTCCAAGCCTGGCTGTCTGGTCTTTCAGCTAAGTCTATGGAATCTTAATATCCCTCAAATAAATTATCTTTTCCTTAAGTTAGCCAGAGTGGGCTTCTGTTGCTTACAATCTTAGAATTCTTACTGATACAGAAGCCAAGTGCAGCACTAGAGAATACTGCCAAATTCTCTACTGGTCATTTTAAAAAAACTAAAATAATCCAAAGTATCACCAAAGCAAAAATATAAGCTTTATCATAATTTATTAGTCATAAATTAATTGCCCTGAATATCTACAACTAATACATACACTGCTAGATGCCTCAGTTTAATTTTACCTGGCATTTACATTTTAATTTCATAGATACAAGCACCTGTCCAAAACAAACAAACACGATTTTCTTAAAACCTAAGTAGGAAATGTAGTTCTTCTCTAAATTAAACCCTACTAAGTATGTTATTTACCTGAATCAGAGCCAACGGTTTTTCTCGACTTCTAATAAGAGCTGCTTCTTGTTGTAGTTCTTCTTCTACAATAGATGCAAAAGTGACTGGGGCTACCATGGATGGAGCAGTCACTGAAGAAGATAGCCAGGGACTGAAAGAATAATAATAATGAGTTTCATTCATCTTCCTAAATTTTTGCATGCAAAATTTTCTCTGAAATACTTTTTAGCAATGCTACAATTCTTTCCAGTGACCTACAATGAACGAACCTGGAAGCTTTCACAGAGATTACAGAATGATGAGTTTCACTCATCTTCCTAAATTTTTGCATGCAAAATTTTCTCTGAAATACTCTTTAGCAATGCTACAATTTTTTCCAGTGACCTACGATGAGCGAACCTGGAAGCTTTCGCAGAGATTACAGAATGATGAGGTGAGAAACAGAAAAACAGAAGAACTAATGTTTTATTTGGACCAGTATTAGAGAGAAAATTTTGGAAAGTACCAGGAAATGGGGAGGGAGCAGAAACAACATAACTGAACAGAAAGGTAACTCAAACTACAGTACGGAGAGGATACAAGTAATACATTCTACTCAATACCATACTATTCCCAATTTCTTAACATTCTCTTATTCTCTTTTTTTTTTTTTTTTTTTGAGACAGAGTCTCACTGTGTCGCCCCGGCTGGAGTACAGTGGCATGATCGCGGCTCAATGCAATCTCTGCCTCCCAGGTTCAAACGATTCTCCTGTCCTAGCTTCATGAGTAGCTGGCATCACAGGCATGCGCCACCATGCCCAGCTAAGTTTTGTATTTTTAGTAAAGACAGGGTTTTGCCATGTTGGCTAGGCTGGTCTTGAACTCCTGACCTCAGATGATCCACCCGCCTCAGTCTCCCAGAGTGCTGGGATTATAGGCATGAGCCACTGCACTCAGCCTTAATGTTTTCAATGCTAAGCAGCAACTTAGCTTTGGAGGCCCATAACTTATCAATTAACCTTACTTGGGACTGTCTAGAAGTGGTAAATCTGAAATATGGTTGCCTTCTGGTCCTGGGGTACCATGGGTAGAGCATCTGCAAAACAAATGCCAAAATTAAAGATTAAAGCTTCTAGTAATATTAGTCAAACTGCTTATTAATAGATACAGAGGAAGAATTGTAAACTCCTGACTCCAGAGGCAAATTAAATGAGTGCAGTCAAGCTTACCTTTAAAATTATAAGTAAACAAAATAATCTATATTTATAAAACCTTCTGTATAAAATATCATAGAGAAAGATACTGCAAGAAATAGCCTATTTCTAATAATAAATATATATATACACACACCAGATAAACCAATAATCTCTAAATCAGATAATTAACAGCCGAATTTTGTAAGGAACTAATATACTTTATGAGCAAAGGATTACAGATAGGACAGAAATATAAAATATGATCTTTACCTTCTAAGAATTCACAAGCTAGTTGAGGAAACAACATACAAAATGACATATAAAATAACAGAACAGAATTTAAGACAGTATAACAAATTGAGTCACACTGGCTATAACAACTATAAAAATCACAATATTTAATCATTTGAGAGGGCCTCATGGATGGAATGAACTTGAGAAGATAATAAAAAAGAGGTATATGATGAAAGCAGTAAGAAGCATTCCAGTAAGGAGAAAAACTTAAAAAGGTACAATACAGATGGACCTAATTATGGAATTTTACAGCTAGAAAGGTCCCTAGAGATTATCTAGATTGCTCCAATGCTCTCTTTCAGCAATGAGAAAACTGAGGACTAGACAGGTTTAACAACACAAAGTCAAACAGAGAGTAAATTAACAGGACCTAAAATATTGACTTCGTGATTCATTTATACACATTTATTGAGCATGTCAGGATTACTGTAGGTGCTAAAAATCAGGCTGATTAAAACCCAATCTTCTCCCCTCAAAAAATTCTGATGGGGAAGATTTAAAAATATACTTAAGCAATGATAAAACAATGTATAAAGTACTATGGATGCACAGAAGAAAAAATACAATATGGAAGATTGTATATACTGATGGCTTCACTGAGGAAATGACATTAAAGCTGAGGAGACGTACAATTAGAAAGAATTTTGGTTGTACAAATACATGGACCTAAAAAAGATTTCAGTTATTTAAGTAAAGGCAGGCTGTTCTCTTCAATAAGCAAAGAATGCCTGAATTCAGGGTAAGGAAGAAACTTAAAGAGAAATAAAGTTTAAAAGAAACAATAGAGCCAGAGTACAAAATGCACTGAAAGCTAAAATGTTTAGCCCTAATGTGTGGGCAAACAAATTTACTAAAAGCCTAAGTACTTCATGTGTATTATCCCATTTAATCTTTGCAATACCCTGTGAAGAAAGCATATATTAACTATTATAGAGATTAAAAAACAAACTCAAAGAATATTATATAATTTGTCTGATTAACAAGTTAGATAAGTAGCAGAGAGATAACAAAAATCTGGTCTTTTTGATTTAGAGTACAGTGTTTTTTCCATGATCACACAGCTACCTTTATTTTTACTATTCCCCTTATTCTGGAATATATTCCACTTCAAATGTCTTCTCACTCTTTTACAGTTGGCTCAAATGTCACCTTCTCTCTCCTCCTACAAAACTTCAATCATTATGATAAAGCATCACACACTGTTATTATTGTTTACATGTCAATCTTAACTGCTAGACTAGTCTCTTGGGGAACAGGACTGTGTTTCATTCATCTTTGTATCTCAGTGTCCACCAGAATACTTGGAAATAGTCGTTTATGAAAAATTAATTAGAAAATTAACGACTGAAACAGAAACTCAAAGGGTATTTTTTTAGTATACGATAATGAAAAGCAGAGGTTTTTAGGTTCTTTATTGCTTTAAATTACTGATAACTTTTCTTAGAGATATAAGTACTGAATTACAAACTGATATAAGCCTTGTAGTAAGCCTGCATGATAGGTATTACTACTCTCATTTCCATATTATGAAACTGAGGTACAGAAAGACTCAGAAAGAGCTGTATAATGTTATACTGAATCTCAAATATGTTTCCTAAGACTACAATTCCATAACTTTTTCCACTCATGATGTTTCAACGGATAATTTCATTAATTACAAATTTATCCAATGTGGAGTCTGTCAAAATTTCTTCTTAAAATGAACCAAATTTGTCAAATAAAATAGAGCTATGATTAAACAAATATCAAAAACATTCTAAACTTTCAAATAATAAATATAGCATTATTGAGTTTTCAACATTAGCAACATAGAAGTAGATATCGCAAGAGACAATCTGTAGAAAATTTAGCCTTCTGAAAATAAACAGCAACATAAAAAGGTTAACTGAAATTTTCCTTAAAAGATTTTTGTTCTGGCCAGGTGCAGTGGCTCACGCCTGTAATCCCAGCACTTTGGGAGGCCGAGGCAGGCGGATCACCTGAGGTCAGGAGTTCGAGACCACCCTGACCAACATGGAGAAATCCCATCTCTACTAAAAATACAAAATTAGCCAGGCTTGGTGGCGCATACCTGTAATCCCAGCTACTAGGGTGGCGGAGGCAGGAGAATCGCTTGAACCCAGGAGGCAGAGGTTGCGGTGAGCTGAGATCAAGCCATTGCACTCCAGCCTGGGCAACAAGAACGAAACTCCATCTCAAAAAAAAAAAAAGATTTTTGTTCAAACCAAAAAACATTAATATTGTCACATTTACACTTTAAAGGAACTAAATTATTCTTTGCTCAGTTGGCCTTAAAAAAATTGTACTGGCTTAATTAGAAAGATTTTTATATCAGATTGGAGCTGATATAATCACAGAATAATTTTTTTCTCACAAGTAGTTTTTTTCACTAATTAGAAACACAAGCTCAGCTGGGCACAGTGGCTCACACCTGGAATCCCAGCACTTTGGGAGGCTGTGGGCAGATCACCTGAGGTCAGGAGTTCGAGACTAGCCTGGCCAACATGGCAAAACCCTGTCTGTATTAAAAATATAAAAATCAGCCAGGCATGGTGGCAGGCGCCTGTAGTCCCAGCTACTGGGGAGGCTGAGGCTAGAGAATCACTTGAACCTGGGAGGCAGAGGTTGCAGTGAGCGGAGATCACGCCATTGCACTCCATCCTGGGTGACAAGAGCGAGAGTCCGTCTCAAAAAAAAAAAAAAAAAAAGAAACACAAGCTTACATTTTCTTTCCAGAATTACATAAGGGGACATTTCAGTGAAAGGAAAATGAGAAATAAAAGCACATGAAATAAAAAAGAATACCTAAGTAACAATAAACAAATAAAAATTGTACAAATTGCTCACTTTTAGATGTTAACACCCTCAAACAACATTGTCATTCTTGCCCTAACCTTGGAAAAAAATCACATTTTCTAGAACTAAAACAAGAATGTATAATTTGTGGAATTTCCTGAGATGAGTCCCCCACCCCTGGCACCCTAACTCCCCAAAGGACCATAAGCATTCCTATCTTCTTAACTCCCACGATTTCCTCTGTTTATACTGCCCCATCTTCTCTTATTTCTTCTTTTAAAAATCCCATCCTGTATTCAAAAGCTTATGACAATGAAAGGAATCAAGAATTAAGTGATCTCTTTTTTTCTAATGTTTTTCACATGCTTATAAATATAATAATAAAATATTTGGAAATGAATATAAAAAGTGCTTATGAACTGACCCAGCTCAAGCCCTTCTTCTGCAATGAAGTCTTCCTGACAACACCAGCCCATGCTCAGTTTTTCTTCTCAGAACCACTCATTTGGTACTTCATCATATTGTAATCTCTTTAATACTTCCATATTGTATCGTAATTTCTTTTTGTTTTGTTGTTGTTGTTGTTGTTGTTGTTTTTGGAGACAGAGTCTCACTCTGTCGCTCAGGCTGGAGTGCGGTGACGTGATCCTGGCTCACTGCAACTTCCACCTCCTGGGTTCAAGCAATTCTCCTGCCTCAGCCTCCCTAGTAGCTAAATTACAGACATGCACCACTATGCCTGGCTAGCTTATTTATTTATTTACTTATTTATTTCTCTTTTTATTTATTTATTTATTTTTTGAGATGGAGTTT
Source organism: Homo sapiens (assembly GCF_000001405.40). Classification (NCBI taxonomy): domain Eukaryota; kingdom Metazoa; phylum Chordata; class Mammalia; order Primates; family Hominidae; genus Homo; species Homo sapiens. The sequence continues at coordinate 37,054 of NW_013171802.1, forward strand.
CACTCTTGTTGCCCAGGCTGGAGTGCAATGGCACAATCTCGGCTCACCACAACCTCCGCCTCCTGGGTTCAAGCAATTTTCCTTCCTTAGCCTCCCAAGTAGCTGGGATTACAGGCATGTGCCACCCCTGGCCCGGCTAATTTTATATTTTTAGTAGAGATAGGGTTTCTCCATGTTGGTCAGGCTGGTCTTGAAGTCCCGACCTCAGGTGATTTGCCTGCCTCGGCCTCCCAAAGTGCTGAGATTACAGGCATGAGCCACCACGCCCGGCCTAATTTTTGTATTTTTAGTAGAGACAAGGTTTCCCCATGTTGGCCAGGCTTGTCTCAAACTCCTGGCCTCATGTGATCCGCCCACATCAGCCCCACAAAGTGCTGGGATTACAGGCATGAGCCACAGCGCCTGGCCCTTGTATCGTAATTTCATTCTTATTCTGTCATTTAACTTCCATGTATGTATATTAATATTTATCAACTAGATTTCAGACACATTAAAGGCTGCACCTATACATTCTACTTTTATATATACCCAACACAGGCCAGTACCAGGTAGCCCATAATTTGCAAATTAATGAATATTTTAGTTTGTCTGTAATGTTTAATATTTCCTTTTTAAAAAAGCATACTTATTATGTTTTCTATGATGGAAAAAAACCCTGAAACTCAAAGCTATCTGTCTTCTTTCTCAGAATCACTAGCAGTGATAGCCAAAGCTATTTAAAACATTAACTCCCATACCAAAAATACTGAAGCTATGGATATATCATACTGTCATAAACTCCATTGAGTCAAACTTCCAAAGCAGTATAACAGGGCACACTTATAATTAAGAGCCCTGATGTTATAGCACACTCTAGTGATCAACTATGAAACCACAGATCCATATTTTAAGTTCCATGACAAATCGTTATATATCTAAAGACTTTTTTTTAAGTTTCAATGAATATTAATATTTAAAATATAAAAATACAAAACTTATCTTAATTTTCATACCTTTAAATTGATATATCTAAGACATGCAATATAACTCACTACATTAGAAACAAATGTTACTTGAAACAGGGTTACAATTTCAATTAATTTACTCATTCATTCACCAGACTCACTGAGCACCCAATACATGCCAGAAGCTAATATGAACACTGGTAGTAAAATGATGAGCAAAGACAAACATCCTCCTTGCTCTCATTGAACATATAATTAAACATACAAACATGAAAATACTTAGAGTAGACAAATATTAAAGAATCACACTAATAAATATGGAACGTACAATAAAAAAGAAGTACTATGAGAACAAACAACAGCAAACTGCCCCAGTAAGTCAGACTTCTCCAAAGAATATAACTGAATAGATATTGAAAGAAGAGTCAGAGTCGTCAGTCTGTCAAAGAGTAAGGAGGTGGAAAGAAGGAAAGTGCATTTGAGAACTAAGAGAAGGCCAAGATGACTAGAATACAGAGATCAGGTTACAAAATCAAGTTAAAGACAGTTGGCAGGAGCCAGACTATGTAGGCCTTGAAGGCCATGTTAAGAATGCTATAGCTTTTCTCTTAAAAGCAGTAAACTCCAAATTTTAAAAAAGAACATACTGGCTTAATATATTTGGAGTAAAGAAAGGCAAGACCAGTCAGGAGGGTAACTCTGGTGGCCCAGGTGAAGTATCACACCAGACTGACTCAGAGGTGATAGCACTGGAGATAAAATTTAGTATATGGATTTGAGAAATATTTAAGAGATAAAAGTGGAATGCTCTAACAGTAGACTGAATATTTGTGAAGAAAATGGAAGTGCCAAAGACACAAATTCTTCCTATTTACTGAGGAAGAAGATTCCGAAAAAACAGGCTGTTCTATGTTTTGTCTATATTTTTGTTTGATTTTGGTTTTATGAGATGGGTATGAGGAAAACATTAAGTTTAGTTTTGGACATGAAGTTTGTGGTCTTTCTGAACATCCAGATAGAATGGTAGGGTCAATAAGAGATAATTAAGTCTAAAGTTCAGATGATAGATATGGGCAAGAGATATAAATTTTGAGACTTTAGTACATGTCTGACGACTGAACATATGCTCATTAAATGGATAGTGTAGAAAGAATATAAAGTGAAATAAGACGACGACCAGTAATTGAACTTCAAGTATGATGAGTCACATAAAAAGTGGATGGTGTTGGCAATACAAAGGTCACTGTTGAACTTAGCCTGTACTGGTACTGTTTCAGTTTAGTAATGGGGCTGGGAGATAGAATCAATTACGGACTGATTGGGAGGTGACAACTCTTTTGAGAAATCTGGCTGTGAAGTGGATGGAGAATTGGTAATGATAGGACAACTGATAGAAGAAAGTGTGCCCAGACCACATGAGAGACCTGAGCACATTCAAAACCAGAGGGGAAGAATCTAGTTAAAAGGAAAATGTTGAATCTTACACAAGAAAGGAAAGGGGTAATTAATAGTTTTCAGGCTTCTGAAATGGGAAGCATTAAGATAAAAGCACAGGTATTGGCCTAAGATAGGAGAGATAACTCTTCTATGACAAAACAAGAAAGGAGGATAGTTCTATATAGGCAGGGGCTAATTTGTTCACCATAGGCAGGGGCTAATTTGTTCACCACTGCAACTCTAGTACTTAGCATAATGTTTGACACAAAGCTCATAATCAATAAATGTTTGATAGACAATTTTAAGACTATGTACCTAGTTTTATATTTATAAGCCTATCATAATTATAATTGTAATTTATAAATATGCAAAAAGGCTTAATCTGCTTCATATGTTAGTATTCCATTTAAGGTTTTTTTATTTTGTTTTGTTTTGTTTTTTGAGACGGGGTCTCCCTCTGTCACTCAGGCTGGAGTGCAGTGGCACAATCATGGCTAACTGCAGCCTTTACCTCCCAGGCTCAAGCAATCCTCCCACCCAGCCTCCTGAATAGCTGGGACTACGTGCACATGCCACCAAGCCGAGCTAATTTATTTTTCTTGCTATTTTTTGTAGAGACAGGGTTTCATCATGTTGCCAGGCTGGTCTTGAACCCCTGGACTCAAGTGATCTGCCCACCTCGGCCTCCCAAAGTGCTAGGATTACAGGCATTAAGCCACTGAACTCAGCCTAAGATTTTAATTTTAAAATAGTATTTTAATGCTAGAAGTATTAGACAAGTTAGGGAGATGACTTCAGATATTTTTTGCTCTTTGATTTTCTGTATTGCAAGAAAACGGCTCAAGAACTTTCCGCCTAAATCTAAGTATCTGTAAAAAAGAAGACAGTCACAATAGTAACAATAAAAATATGCCTAAACATTTAATCTAAATCAGGAGTTTCCAAACATTGTTGTCAGAAGACTTTGATAGTTCCTCAGGACAGGTAAAGTGACATTAAACTAGTATAGCTCCCAGTCTCTGTTCCTTGCTTCAGTCAGAAAAGTTTATATTATCTGTTTGATGCACTTGAATTGGACATAACATATCTTACTTATTTTGTTTTGTTTTGTCTGAGACCAGGTCTCACTCTGTCACCCATGCTGGAGTGCAGTGGTTTGATCACAGCTCACTGAAAATACTGCTTTTAAATTATAGATAGATTTTGATGTTTCATGTAGGCATTTAAAATATGAAACTTTTTTTTAAATACATTGGACTTTCTAAAGCAGTATCAAAAATAGCTAGGCCAGGTGTGGCGGCTCATGCCTGTAATCCTAGAACTTTGGGAGGCTGAGGTAGAAGAACTGCTTGAGGCCAGGGGTTTGAGACCAGCCTGGGCAACATAATGAGACCCCCATCTCTACTTTCATGAAAATTAAAATTAAAAAATAGCTAGAGAAAAAATTGCAAATACCTAAAGGTCCATCAACAGATGCACAGATAAACACATTGATGTGGTATACCCATACAATGAAATACTATTCAGTAGTGAAACAGAATCAATGGATACCCATAACAGCATGAATAAATCTCAAAATAATTATGCTGAGTAAAAGAAGACAGATTTTACAATGGGTACATACTGCACGACCCTGCTGATATAAAACTCTAAAATGTACAAGCTAATCTTTATTGGTAGATTAGTAGCTGCTTGGGAGGGGGAAACAGAAGGAAGAGAGGAAGGGATTACAAAGGGACATGACAAAACATCTGAAAATGATGCTTATGTTCACTATTTTGAATGTTGTGTTGGTGTCATAGGTGTATATATACGCTGAAACTACAGAATGTATACTTTAAATATACGCAATTGATTTTAAGTCAATTATATCTCCGTAACCGTTTCAATTTTTTTTAAGTGGGGAAGGAATTTAAACATGCTAATTTTAATTCTGAATGTAAAAGAGTGTACAAAAAATCTGCCTCATAAAGTTTTAAGGATTATTTCAGAACATAAAACCACCACAGAATATTTTAAGGTAGAAAATGTATTAGTTTTAAGTTTGTTTTATTACCTGACAATTTTTGGTGCCTGAGAATTTTCAATTCCTTTAAAAGAAACTTTTTTGACATGATCGCCTGAACTATGGCTAGTAACAGACTTTTTTTCTTCTAGTAAGAAATCCCGGAATGACTTGGATGAAACTGAATGCAGAGAAGATGCCCTGCAAAAGAAAGCAAAGATCATGTTAAAACATCCATTTTGTAAAAGGGCATTGCTGGAAGTTATAAGAGAACAATAAGAACGTATACCAAAAATTTTACAATATACAATTGCAGTTTTCAATGTGATGTTGGATTCTTGCTGCCAATTGTGAAATATCCAAAACTATTCCATAAGAAAAACCAATCAATGAAGACCAAGTCTAGAGATAACTCAGATGTTAAAATTAGCAATATTAAAATAGCTATTACAATTATGCATCAGATAACAACAACAAAAGCTCATTAAAAATAGGTAAGTTCGGCAAAAGAAAAGAAACTATTAAAAAAAGAGCAAAATGAAAATTCAAGAATTTTTAATATATTTTTAAAAATTCACTGTATAGATGGAAGAGTCGGTAAACTTGAAGATAAACCAAAAGAAATTTTTGAATCTGAAAAACAAAAAAGAGAAGTTGAAGAAAATTATTCCATAGTGAGTTATAAGATAAAATCAAAAGGTCTGCCATATGTGTTAACTGAAGTCCCAGAAATAAAGAAGAGAGATACGGCAGAGAAAAAGAAACAATGGCCAAAATTTTCCCAAATTTGGTGGAAGATATAAATTTAAAGACTCCAGAATTTTGGCAAACCCCAAAAAAGATAAAACAAAGAAAACCATATTTAGGCACATAATAAATAAACAGCTGAAAACCAAAGCTAAACAGAAAATCTTGACAGCAGCCATAGAAACACAACACAGAATGAAAATGAGTAGCTTGTTATTTGAAACAATGAAGCCCAAAAGACGATGGAAAGGAATCTTTAATATGATGAAAGAGGTAGAGAATGTCAATCCAGAATTCTATATCTGAGTAATCTTGAAAGTAGGTCCTCTTCAAGTCATGCCTTGAAATGACTATAGCCCTGGCCAAACCTTGACTGCAGCACTGTGGAAGATCCTGAGTCAGAGGCATTCAGCTGAGATTCCTGACCCAAAGGAATTATGATAATAAATGTTGGTTGTTTTAAGCTGTTGTTCAAGTATAATCTGTTATGAAGCAATAAATAACTAATACAAGATATTACAGAAATTAAAAGGGTAATAAAGAAATCTTATAGAGCCAGGTACAGTGGCTCATGCCTGTAATCCCAACACTTTGGAAGGCCAAGGCAGGTGGATCGCTTGAGCCCAGGAGTTTGAGACCAGCCTGGCCAACATGATGAAACTCCGTCTCTACTAAAAATACAAAAATTAGCTGGGCATGGTGGCACACACCTGTAATCCCAGCTACTCAGGAGGCTGAGGCATGAGAATTGCTTGAACCTGTGAGTCAGAGGTTGCAGTGAGCCGAGACAGGGCCGCTGCATTCCAGGCTGGGTGACAGAGCAGGACTCTGACTCAAAAAATGAAAAACAAAACAGAGAAAAAAAAAAGATAGAAATGTTATAAACAACTTAACACAAATAAATTTGACAATTTACATGGAATAGACAAATATCTTTTTTAAAAAACTAAATTACTGAAAATAACAGAAAGTCTATATAGACTATATCTATTTTAAAAATTGAATTAATCTCACTAGGTTTTTTAACTGCAAAAATTGACAAACTGATTCTAAAATTTACATGAGAATAAAATATCCCAGATTAGCCAAAGCATTCTTTTAAAAAAAATAGAAAGTTGGAAGAAGACAAAACCAATTATGGTAATCAGGATAGTATAAGCTAGGTCTGAATGTATTTCCTCCAAAACTCATGTTGAAATGTAAATGTCACTGTGATTGTATTGTGAGATGAGACCTTTAAGAGGTGTTTAAGTTATGAGGGTGCCTCACAAACTGACTAATGCCATTATCACTGAGAATGGTTAACCCTTTTTGCTGTCTCTCACCCTGCTGGCATATGCCTTCCACTATGCTATGAAGCAGGAACAAGGCTCCTGCCAGATGCCAGCACCTTGATATTGGACATCCCAGCCTCTAGAACTGTGAGCCAATAAATATCTGTTCATTATAAATTACCCAGTCTGTGGGACTCTGTTACAGCAGCACAAAATGAACTAAGATTGTGTGATACTGGCATAAGGATTGACAAACAGATTTCTTCAATTATGTTTTACTGTTCTTTCCACTGACTATGCCATAATTGGAAACAGTACCTGATTTCCCACAATTTTATTTTCCTAACTCACAAGCTCCAGCTATTTTCTACCTTAACAGCCACAGAAAATTTATGGAGAAGAATTTTAGACATTTGTACCTGCATAAAAATTAACCAGAATTTTGCTCCTCAGCAAAAGAAGCCCTGTAATTTTACTCTAAATAATATTTTAGCTTTAAAATATTAAATAATTGAAATTGTTTTATATTGTATGGGTTAGCTCTAAATGGAATTTGAAAGAATTTACATTCAAACATCAAGCCAGGCCACAAAGAAAAAGTATTCTTCCACTGAAGATGACTGATGAGAAAGGTTCTATTATTTCTCCAAGTGAAACATTTAATTTTGAGAAGTAGCCAAATCCCATACATACTTAGTGTTTTCACATTAAATTTAAAATTTGCCTGGTTGGAACTTCAATCTAATGCAAAAACCCAGTTATCCCTAATACTTTCCATTGCCACACCTAACTGTCAGCAGCAGGAGTACAACTATAAACACTGGGAATTCTACAGACTAGGTGAATGAATGTGTGAACAAACTAGTGAAAATCCTACCACAACCTCAAGTATATTTAGAGTGCTAATTTGTGTTTTGCTAATGAATTGCACATTAACCTTAATATTAATGTAAACATATTTTTAAAAATCTTTTGAAGAAGTAAAATCTTATTAGATGATACTTCAGGTAATGATGTACCTTTAAGAAGGATTTTAAAAACCAGTTACATCGGCTGGGCGTGGTGGCTCACACCTGTAATCCCAGCACTTTGGGAGGCCAAGGTGGATGGATCATGACGAGGTCAGGAGTTCGAAACCAGCCTGGCCAACATGATGAAACCCCATCTCTACTAAAAATACAAAAATTAGCCAGGCATAGTGGTGTGCATCTGTAATCCCAGATACTCGGGAGGCTGAGGCAGGAGAAGTGCTTGAACCCAGGAGGCAGAGGCTGCAATGAGCCAAGATTGCGCCACGGCACTGCAGCCTGGGCGACAGAGCAAAACTCTGTCTCAGAAAAAAAAAAAAAAAAAAAAAACAGATAAATCATCACAGTCATGAATACATTCTATAAATAACAATCTGTAAATCTGATTAAAATGTTAACTTCAGCCAGGAACAGTGGCTCATGCCTGTAATCCCAACACTTTCGGAGGTGGAGACAAGAGGACTGCTGAGCCTAGGAGTTCAAGACCAGCTGGGGATATACAGACCCATCTCTACAACAAATAAAAAATTAGCTGAGCATGCTGATGCACACCTGTGATCCCAGCTACTCAGGAGGCTGAGGTGGAAGGATTGCTTCAGTCCAGGAGGTCAAGGATGCAGTGAGCCAAGATTGCACCACTGCACTCTGTCTCAAAAACAAAAAAAAAGTTCCAATTTTTTCTTTAAAACCAATGCATACGAGATATGTTCTCAGGAAAACAATCTATTCCATTTTTACTTCAAGCATATATTACAAGTATTTACATTCTATGTGTATCTGATTAAAAATCAAGTGATATACTGAATTATGTGGCTATCTCATAATTTTATAATCACATGAAAAATTATATCATATTATATTCACTCAATAATTAATGTTTTATCCAGAGTTCAGGTTAAAATACTTTGCAGCCTTCTAAGAATTCAAGAAAGAAAATTATTCAACAATTTAATAACAGTAATTTCAATTTATACTGAAGTGCTTTGCTTTGCTGTGCTTCATAGTTACTGTGTTTTTAAACAGGTTGAAGGTTTGTGGCAACCTTGCATGGAGCAAGTATATCGTGCCATTTTTCTAACAATACATGCTCACTTTGTGTCTCTGTGTCATATTTTGGTATTTCTCCTGGTATTTCAAACTTTTTCATTATTATTATATCTGTTACGGTGATCTTGATCTTTGATGTTACTATTATAATTGTTTTGGAGCACCATGAACCACATCCATACAAGTTGGCAAGCTTAATTGATAAATGTTTGTTTTCTGACTGTTACACCAATTGGCAGTTCTCCCATCTCTCTCCCTCTCCTCCTTAGGCCTCCCTATTTCCTAAGAAACAACAATATTGAAATTAGACCAACTAATAACCCTACAGTGGCCTCTAAGTGTTCAAGTGAAAGAAAAAGTCACATGTCTCTCACTTTAAATCAAAAGCTAGAAATAATTAAGCTTAGTGACGAAAGCACCACCCTGATCAGTCAGCAGTCATCAACATCAAGGCAAGATACTCCACCATAAAAAGATGATTCACTGAAGGTTCAGATGACCATTAGCATTTTTTAGCAATAAAATAGTTTTACATTAAGGTTTTTTTTTGTAGATATTATGCTATTGCACACTTAGCAAACTACGTATAGTATAAACATTACTTTTACAGGCACCAGGAAACCAAAAATTTCTTGTGACTTGCTTTATTGCGATGTTTGCTTTACTAAGGTAGTCTGGAACCGAACCTGCAGTATCTCCAAAGTATGCCTGTATAGTCTTAAAAAGAGCATAAATTACTAATTGTAGACAATTCAGATACCTCTCACCTTGATGATAATAATTCAGAATATCTATAATTCTCAAAAATTCAGATTACCCATAACATCTATAATTATCTAAATTATCTATAATTGGTCAGTTAGATAAATTTTCTTAGTGTACTAAGATACATAAAACTCATTACTCATGTTTGTACTTAAGTTTTCCAATCATGTTTTCATAAAATAAATGTATAACAAATATCACTTGTATTTGATAATTATCAAATTCTTTTTTTTTTTTTTTTTTTTGAGAAGGATTTTTGCTCTGTTGCCCAGGCTGGAGTGTGGTGGCATGATCTCAACTCACTGCAACCTCTGCCTCCCAGGTTCAAGTGATTCTCCTGCCTCAGCCTCCCAAGTAGCTGGGATTACAGGCATGCAACACCATGCTCAGCTAATTTTTGTATTTTTAGTAGAGACGGGGTTTTTCCATGTTGGCCAGGCTGGTCTCAAACTCCTGACCTCAGGTGATCTGCCTGCCTTGGCCTCCCAAAGTGCTTGAATTACAGGCATGAGCCATCATGCCCAGCCAGATAATTATCAAATTCTTTTCAAAGAAAAATAACCTATGTTTTTGGTCAAAATTTATGGCATCTTTCTTCCCATCTTTCTAGAATTCTCCTTAATATGCCATAATAGACTCTTAAAATTTGGATAGATAGTCCCTTCAATGTGGCACTCTAAGCTCATGTTGCTATTACCAAGGAAAAATTTTTCCTATGTTTGAAAATTAGTCAGAAGTTTCAGATAAATGACCACTTGAATACCTTCCTCTGAAATCCTAAAGTGTACAGCAAAGTAATCAGAAAGGTATAAACCCACAAGGGCAAAAATAATAAGCTATTAAGACAATGGCAGTCTAAAAACAGCAACACATTTTTGAAGGATAGCAAAAGAGATGGAATGATAAAAACTGATGTCGCCGAGTGGACAAAAAGAAATACTAGCAGTCATCAGGTGGGTGACAGTAAAGAGGGAAGCTGAGAACTCTGGAAAGGGGCATATACTGGAGACAGAGTATGTATCAAATCCTGAAGTCGACATGAGCATGAAAATTGTTTCAGTTTATTTAAGGAGGGGCTGAAAGTGCCAGATGTACTCCCTATCTCCATATGGTCATATTACTACATCTCCTTTACTCTGGCAGAAGGAAAATTTGATTCAAAGTCACTAGTAATAGAGGATGGCGGGAGTGAACTGTTGTGTACAAAGTCTATACACTAAATGTGAAAACCTATTACAAATGGTGACAAGTTCAGTCCCAGCTCTAACCTCCCTACACTGAGATACGCTTCCAGAATGCTAGCAACAAAATGTACACCTTAACAGCAAAAAAAAATTAAAAGGCTGCTCTTTAGAAAAACTGACAGACTAAAGAGACCAAGGAGAAAAGATATGGAGATAACCAACATATGGGGAGATTCAGGGGTCCCTAAGGAATCTGATACGTTACCCTATAGTCACACCTATCAGTCTATTTGTACAACATAGGCACACAGAGCTTCCAGTCAGAACTTAAGAGAAAACAATCAATCAATAAATTGACAAAATGAAATAAAATAAAACACATATAGAGTAGAATGAATAAAACATGGATGTAAATCAATGGCTATTTTTAGCTTTCTTTTTTTTGGTTGATTGGTTTATTTTGTTCAATATCATATTGGTAAGATTCATCCACACTGTTGTATTTAGTCATGATTTATTCTTTTTCATTACTCTGTAGTATTCTACTATAAAAATAAATTAATTTATCCACTGACTGCTGATAGACATCTAGATTGTTTTCAGTTTGGGCTATTACAGATAATAAATTATGAACATTCTTATACTTGTTGCGTGGTACATACGTGTGTGTTTCTGTTGGGTATATACTAAAGAGTGAAAATGCCTACAGAGTACAGAGATCTTCAACATTAGAATATTAAAACAATACTATAGAAAAAGGTATCATCAACAAACAAACCAAAAAAAGCTCTTGATAAAGATTTTAATGATTGGAAAAAGTCAGGCAAATGTTCCAGAAAGTAGAATTAAAAGGCATATATGTGGACAATAGAAAAGAAAAAGTGTAGTGGCTCACACCTGTAATTCCAGTACTTTGGGAGGCTGAGGCAGGCAGATCACTTGAGGTCAGGAGTTCGAGACCAGCCTTGCCAACATGGTGAAACCATGTTTCTACTAAAAATACAAAAATTAGCCGGGTGTGGTGGTAGGCATCTGTAATCCTAGCTATTCAGGAGGCTGAGACAGAAGAATCGCTTGAACCTAGGAGGCGGAGGTTGCAGTGAACCAAGATCGCACCACTGCACTCAAACCTGAACAACAGGGTGAGACTCCATCTCAAAAAAAAAGAAGAAAAAGTAAGAAATTTAGAGAAGCCTAGGGGGACCAATATCTGACTAATGTGATTTGTAGAGAAAACAGTGAGGAGGAAAAGTATCAAAGTAATATTAATATTACATAAGATTTCCCTAGAACTTAAAGACATGCTGTTGCCAATTAAAAGAGCCCAAGTACCCAGGATGTATCAAAAAAGACCTACATTATGATACATTACTGTAAAATTTCAGAACATTAGAGATAAAGAAAAGATCCTGTAAACTTTCAGGGAAAAAAAAAGTGGAGAAGAAAACAGGAGGTAACATAAGAAGATTTAGGAATTAAATGGCATTGAATAAATTCTCCAAATGATTTCCAATTTAGAATCCCGTTCCCATCTATCAGTCAAGAAGAATGAAGGCTAGAATAAAAACATTTTCATGAATATACGAGCTCCAAAAATATATGTCTTATACATCCTTTATCAGAAACCTACTGGAGTTGTGCTACATCAAAACAAGGAGTGTATCAAGAAATAGAAAACCACAGGATCAAGAAAACTGGGGATCAAACACTGGAGAGAAGGGAAGACCTGCAAGACAACAGTTAAAGAAAATCTCAAGATGACAGATATTCAGCATGCCTGGAAAAGACCCGGTTCAGATCACAAAAGAGCACAGGACTCTAAGGAATATGCCTCCAAAAAAATAAGTGAAACAACTTTCACTCGTTCACTTTTTGCTTAAGGAAAATGATTGATGGCATGCTTACAGCTATATTACCAAGTCCAAAGCTTCATCATGAGCTTAGTTAATTCTCTCAAACTGCAATTTAGTACTTGACAGTGGTTCCAATAACTTTTCCCCCTTTTTGGATTTTCCATACCTTTGTTTAAAGAAAGCACAACTCAGTATTGCAGCAGTCATATCATAAACCCTACAAGGGTAACAGTCAAATCTGTCTTGTTCATTGCCTTATCATCAGAAACTAGCACAGTCCCTTACATTTAGAAGGTGCTTAACAAATACTGATAAATTTTAAAATTCTGCTAAGCTCATCCTCTCCAGTTTTACCCTCTTTTCTCTTTTCCTTGGGTGTTCTTACCTCTTATTTTACTTTCTTTTTCAGTAACCATGCTTTGGACCTACTAATAGCCCTAACAAGCACTGATTTAGTTCCATTGGTAACATTTAGAATAAAATTATTTGCCACTTTCTTCAAAATAATTAACATTTTAATTGAGAAAAATATTCCTTCTTACAAACAGAATAATGTGGCCTTAGAAACATTGAAAGGATTCCCCTAAACCATGGGTAGCTGCCAAGATCCTCCCCAGTCCTTGTGAGAGAAAGAGAGTTCTACTGATTTCTTCGTAAGGCTTCACATTCTCCATGTAGTTCTCCAGTATTGGTTTCCAGATATTTTAAGTTACAAGAAAAGGAAGGATGGAACGGAAGCTGGAGTACAACCTATTTTACATATCTCAAAATTATATCTGACCTCTTTGGAGGTTATTCCAATGCTGCCACTATGTGTAAATTCCAATGGAGAAAATGTAAACACAACATTAAGTAAGGAGCAGTGTTTTAAAAAGTGAAAAATAACAAGCTATGATTATAACCATGTAAAGATATTTATGGAGCATGCAGAAGGACAAAGAAATTAGCGTAGTATAAATAAAGTTTTCTTTTTATATGTGTCTGATGTATTTAATTTCTTATAAAAAATAAAAATAAATTTTAAATCACTTTAGCAAGAAAATCTAATTAGAATATCAAGAAGAAATTATATCTATATATGAAAAATATATCCACATTTTGATGTGTATGATGATGTGTGTCATCATGACTTGTATGTCAAAACACCCCAAATTAAAAGAAAATAAACAACAACAAAAAAAGTGTTTGTTTCCCAAGTTCCAATTTTTAACTTGAAAACAGAAGGGGAGATAAAATACTTGAAAAGACTTTAGAAACACTGGAAGTGGGAAGGAACTCCAAAGTCAAGTACTACCTTAAAAGCAAATGCACAAATCTATATTAATTTTAATAAAAATAAGAGCATACCATGCATTCACTGGTTTGGGGGCTTTTGAAGGAGTGAATAAAACTGTTTCCATGCTATTCATTCCTGAATTGTTTTCCTTGGTAGTCAATGCAATCATTTTTCGTTGCTTCTGAGAAAGTTTAACTCCATGAGAAACTGTTTTGCTAGAAATTAAACCAATTAGTTTCAGTGGTTTCTTCTGACAAAGTTTAATTCCATGAGAAATCATTTTGCTAGAAATTATATCAATTAACATTAATTTCTGCTTAATAAAGGTTACTGGTAATAATAATGTTTTCTATTTATTTCATGTTATTTTACCATTATTGGATCAAAATGCTCACAAGTTTCAACAATGAAAATATCAGTTTATACTAACAATGATCAAGTAATAGCTACATATGAGCCCTCCAACATATCACAAATTTCAAAAAGAACTTGCATCACAAGCCTTAACTCTTTGGCTTTTGTAGCCAATAGTCCACAATGATCATTTTAGAGTCAAGTTTCTGGGATGTAATACTGTATTCTACAAGAGCTGGATTATCAACTCAACTCTATCTTTAGCACATATTTAAGAAATAATATTATGGAGGCTAAATTGCCCAGAAAAGGATGTATAATTAACTATAACATCAAATGCAGAAAAATAATAAGAAAGATGCAGTAAGTCTGTCCAATTCTTAGGGCAGAAATACAACATGAAATGATCTTTTGTAATGTTTTCAACCCACCCTAAATGTGACTTTGGTGTAGCTCCACATTTTTGTCTACTTTCTTCTATTTCCATGATAGTTCTGAGATCCACAACAGGAGGGCTGACAGGACTAAAAGACATAAAAGGTTACTTTGCAAAGCATTCATTTACCTATAAAGCCCAACCCCCAACTTCACTGAAATGATAAGTGATATGTGAGATTAATAATCAGAGTATAATTTAGATTTATCAGCTGTGAGCCAGTTTCATAAAGGATATTTTGAATAAAAGCTACTTTTATATACACATATATAAATATTAACTAATATATATCCAAAATGTTAAGTGATATAGCACATATACAAATAACAACTAATATGTATCCAAAGTCATAATGTTGTGATATAACTGAAATTCCTATATTTAAAAAAACATTTTTTAAAAAAAGTGAAGCAATAGAAAGATTCTTAACTAAATTAGGCAGAAAAACTCACCAAAGTTCTAATTAAATTCTTACCTTTAGGTTAAATGAAGCTTGAAAATTACATTCTTTCCTTTCTATTTTTAACAAACAAAACTCATTCTACTGTTTAATATTAACAAAAACAAACATTTAATAGAAAAACTTGGGGATACTAAATAATATTGGAGACCCACCAGAGGAAGTTATACCATAATGACAAAATTCTACAATCATTAGAAATAGATGATTTCTGGCCAGGTGTGGTGGCTCAAGCCTGTAATCCCAGTACTTTGGGAGGCCGAGGCGGGTGGATCACCTGAGGTCAGGAGTTCGAGACCAGCCTGGCCTATGTGGTGGAATCCCGTCACTACTAAAAATATAAACATTAGTCAGGGGTGGTGGCAGGCGCCTGTAATCCCAGCTACTAGGGAGGCTGAGGCAGGAGAACCGCTTGAACCTGGGAGGCAGAGGTTGCAGTGAGCTGAGATCATACCACTGCACTACAGCCTGGGCAATGAGGGCGAAACTCTGTCTCAAAAAAAAAAAAAAAAGAAATAGATGATTTTCGACCTAAATGAAATCTACACTACAGATAAAAATAAGTCAGTCAGGCACAGTGGCTCACACCTGAAATCCCAGCACTTTGGGAGGCCGAGGTGGGCGGATCACAAGATCAGGAATTCAAGACCAGTCTGGCCAACATGGTGAACCCTCATCTCTACTAAAAATACAAAAATTGGCTGAGCATGGTGGCACGCGCCTGTAGTCCCAGCTACTCGGGAGGTTGAGGCAGGAGAATCGTTTGAACCCAGGAGGCAGAGGTTGCGGTGAGCCGAGATCGTGCCACCGCACTCCAGCCTGGGCAACAGAGCAAGACTGTCTCAAAAAAAAAAAAAAAAGTCATATTACTTCATATTAAAGGGAACCTGTTTCCTGTACTTTTTTTCTTTCATCAAAAACAAATTCTACTTATTATTTACACTAGGCAATACTACAAAATGAATGTAGAAATGTTTGTGTATATGTCAATATTGAGAATGTTTATTGCCTATTGCTATGCATTTTGTCAATGAGCATAGTACTGAAATAGCCTAATCTATCTTGTAGACCAGGGTATTTTTAAAACATGTTTAACAAAATATCCTAACATTAGCAATCAGAAGATGTTTCCAGATGTTCCCACATATTAAATATTTACCAATTTGTGTACTTATGCAAAAAAAAAAATTGAAACTAATTTCTGAACTAAAGTTTAAACCATGAAGCACATAAAATGGAACATCATAATCTTTGTTCCAACTCTGCAAAATATAGCCTATTTCAAAAGAATTAAACAGTCCAGATGATAATATGTCAATTAACAGTTTTAGACTTTATCAACCATTGTAGGCATATAAACATGAAGCACAAGCTTAATTAACATTTTGAAAGAATACTACATTCTAATTACATCTGCTACTCATTTAACTTTTCTTTTTCTTTTTTTTGAGATGGAGTCTTGCTCTGTTGCCCAGGCTGGAGTGCAGTGGCGCGATCTGGGCTCACTGTAACCTCCGCCTCCCGGGTTCAAACGATTCTCCCACCTCAGCCTCCCAAGTAGCTCGGATTACAAGTGCGTACCACCACGCCTGGCTAATTTTTTGTATTTTAGTAGAGATGGGGTTTCACCATGTTGCCCAGGCTAGTGTCGAACTCCTGAGCTCAGGTAATCCACCCACCTCAGCCTCCCAAAGTGCTAGGATTACAGGCATGAGCCACCATGCCCAGCCTTCATTTGACTTTTCTAAATAAATGAAAAAATATATATATAATATAGGCAAGTTAAAAGGATAGTATAACATTAAATTAATATCCTCTGAAAATTAACTGAATAGTTACACATTTTGTGAAATTTTAAATACCCCTTCACATGCTCTAAGAGATAAAGTCTATGATTGACAAAATTGTCTTCCTGTGCAGCATTTTTAACCAATACATATTATCTAAGAAATAACTACTGATACTAAGTTTCTCTCTATATACGTAAAACATAGTATTTGCTACTATTCACTGATGATAATACAAAGGCAACTAAATTTTGCCTGGGGTTGGTTGGGGGGGAAGCCTATTATAGCTGGTTAGCAATTTGTAGGTATTTAGGCAATTTTCTGTGCATTAGAAATTTATATTAATATTTCTTAAATGTTCATCATTAAAAAATTAAATTGCATTAAAAATGAATGACATTTCTCAAACTAACAGTTATAGAATAAAATAAAAATCCTACCTGAAAGAACCAGCAACCCAACTGGCAGAGCTGGTAGTATCAATTCTGTTACTGGGAATAGGCTGTGGAGCAGATATTTTAAGTATTGGTGACTTTTCCCATGGTTTTAAATCTTCCCTAGAATACACAGGAGATGTACCATTAACATACGGTTTGACTTTCGCCTGGGGAGAGAAAAAAAATAAAAAAAGTTAACAGGCACCTAGAACAGTAACTAACACATAGCTGGTACTTAATAAATATTAGTTACATTATAATGAAGAATAAAATCTTATGACAATAAGCCATCTAGTATTTTCAAATCATGTTCTTCTACAGTTTTGTGCCTTAGCCAACTCTCAAATCACATTATTGACTATAACTGAATTATTATGAGCTTTGAAAATAATTTTTAGGGAAACTAGTTTGCATATTAAATCTCTACACAAATAGTTAACATGTAATATATAAAAGTTGTACAAATAAGACATGAAGCAGTAATTTTAAAATTAATATCCATGGCTTGAATATGAAACAAAATGAAAGTTTTGTATAAATGTCATATAATTCACTCTGATGTAAAGTACTGTGAATAAAATTAAAGTCAAATAATACTGACACCTTGAAAGGAACCCTAAAACTACTGCTATTGTAATATGTCAAGGAAGTTATTAAAATGATATGTCTATTTCCAGGATAGATTCTTCTGTTATTGTAAATCACTCACAATATACCCTGAGCCTTCCTTTAAACCTCAATTGTCTTACAGACCAACCTTAGTGTGAATATAAATTGCCCCCAAACTTCTATCCTATATTTTAAAAAAAATCAATCCTGGCGGGGTGTGGTTGCTCACATCTGTAATGCCAGGACTCTAGGAGGCTGAAGTGGGTGGATTGCTTGAGTCCAGGAGTTCGAGACCAGCCTGAGCAACACGGCAAAACCCCATCTCTACTAAAAATATAAAAAAATTAGCTGGACGTGATGGTGCGTGCTTATAATCCCAGTTACTCTGCCGGCTTAGGTGGGAGAATCACCTAAGCCCGGGAAATCAAAGCTGCAGTGAGCTGATACTATACCACTGCACTCCAGCCTAGGCAACCAGAGTGAGAGACCCTGTCTCAAAAAAAAAAATCAAATCAATCCTTGAGGCCTAAAAGACTCTAAGAAGAAAGGGTAAACTTCTGTTGTCTTATGAATTCCTAGAAGTTCCGATACGTTTTGTGGATGTGTAGGAGTTACAGAAAAGTGACTCTATCTCTATTCAGTTACACATTTTTCTCTAATAGGTTAACAGCTATGGAATCAAATGTTAAGGAGTGTCTAAGAAATGCCCTCCCCAGAGCTGATTAGGCTAGGAATCCTGCAGCTTAATGTGCTAGATTAGGAGAAGAACTCAAATCATTTCCAAATTGTTTTGCTCCAGTTAATACCCTGGAGGAAAGAGACTGCGAACTTTCAAAGTAGGCTTATTTTCGAAATCATTTGCCTTGACAATTTTTAACTGATGTTAACTGACATTTCACAAGATAAATTTCAATAATTTAGCTACAAATATATTTTTTCAACATGTCTATAGTGTTATTATATTTTACATCAACATTATATTTTAGTTGCACAAAGACTAGAAATAACATCATAAAGGGCTCAAAACTGCCATTACAATCTCTAAAAATAGAAATGTTGTGCAAATTTAAGAAAACTAACACTATATTTGTGATTCTTATATACCAACCTGGAAACTGTTTTAAAATTAGGGCAAAAATAAGGAAATATTAAAGATAAACCATCTATAAATCTAAAATCTGAAGGTAAGGAGGTAGTGCTTCAAAAAACAAACCTCAATCTTATCTGAATGAAATCCTGTTGTGAAATCAGGGGACTGTAAATCTCTAGGACTACCCACTCCTGCATAGCTTCCTTCAGAGTCTGATGTCAACAGTTCTGGAAGAGATTCCACAGAATTGGTCTTACCAGACTTTAATAATCCTAAAACATGAAATTAAAAAAAATTAAACACATATGCATTAAACATATATGCATTACATTCCATGAACCAGAGAGCTAAAAAAGCTTTCATTTATCCAGATTTAATAACATTCAAATTATATTTATGGTATAAAAATCTTAATAATTCAAGTTAACTGGAGAAAGAAATCAGTTTAAGTGAAAAACTGAAATGGAAGAGATTCTAAAACAATAATTTTATTCATTACAATCACACACCAATTGTGTAATGAACCTGAGGAAGATAGTTCTTTGGGATCTGCTCTAAAAAGTGATTTAAAATATTTTTGTCCGCATAAGAGACAAAGGAGAAAGGGAAAATAATTAAAATCCAGACCTCTTTTCCCTTTCTCATCTGTCTCTTGGTACAGTGGTCTCCGCACCCAAGCAAGGGGGTAGCTTCATTCTATGTGGGAGGAACCCTGTGGCCTTTTTGCCTCTCACTTAGCCAGCTGACTGACCCCATAGCAGAGGCTCCCGCAGAAGACAACTGTGGCCTGTTTGAAGTGTGTTTTTCCCTGAAATCTCTGGCTATTGAGAGCTCGCTTGAAGCAAGAGGGTTGTTGTGAAATGTATATATCATTTCTTCTCTTAGGCAAGCTAAATGCCTGGCCTCATGCCACACCTGGTATCCAGGTTCAAACTTTTGCTTAGATTCACATGTCCATTTCCACACATTTCAAATTTATTAGAATCTAAATGAAGTACCAAAATAAGCTATAAAATAAAGATGTTATCTAACTTGTAACTAAAAGCTGTATAATTGATTTAAAAATAAAACCTACCATCTCTTATACATTGTTCTCTTTAAAGTAAATCACCTTAACAAGCTAAATGTTTCTTTTATTGTTATCACTACAATTTGGAAAGAACATTTAAACATTTTTTTTGCCACACAATCTTTTTGAATTTTTTTTTTTTTTTGAGACAGAGTCTTACTCTATTGCCCAGGCTGGAGTGCGGTGGCATGATCTCAGCTCACTGCAACCTCCACCTCCAGGTTCAAGTGTTTCTCCTGCCTCAGCCTTCCAAGTAGCTAGGATTACAGGCATGCACCACCATGCCCGGCTAATTTTTTTTGTATTTTTACTAGAGACAGCGTTTCACCATATTGGCCAGGCTGGTCTGGAGCTCCTGATTTTGTGGTCCGCCCGCCTTGGCCTCCCAAAGTGCTGGGATTACAGGCAGGAGCCACTGCGTCTTGCCTCTTTTTGAATATTTTTAAGGCTGGCAAATTTTCATCGAAGAGAATACATCTAATATTAGAACACTCTCAAAAGTCAGTTAGAAATAAATCCAGAAAAAAAGAGGACAATTAATGTGGCCAACAATTACTTCTGGTCAAAAACAGTTTTGCTGAATGCCGTTTGTCTAACTTTAAGATCGACACAGATGTTAAGCTTTTACGCAACTGTCTTTGATGAAATTGGCCTCATACTCAAATTTTCTTCCTTAACAGGTCTTTTTGGCCTCCAATTAAATCTGACCTTTTAGTTATCTTTGACTACAGATATCCTGGCCACAGAAAGAACAGTACACCAGGAAAATACGGACCTGGAATCAAGAGAACAAATTTTATTTCTTTTGGTCACTACTTCAAATCACTTATGTTTTTTGAGCTTCTTTCCTTAGGTTTAAAGTAAGGGACATAAATTATTTCATTACTAATGTCTCTTCTAGCTCTGAAATTCTAAGATTCTAACACATATGGTAACAATAACATTATTTAAAACAAACCAAATATCTGCTTTTCCATAAGTCATTTAGGTGACTGGAAAGTCATTACTTTCAAGACTGTCTATCCATTATTCATCCTTCCATCAATCCACCCCTGCCTCCTTCTAAACACTAACGGTAATTCATACAACACAGAGAACACAGAGTCACAGAATTTTAAATTTAGAAAAGTCCTAAGATAATAGCTTTCCCATTTACTAGGTCTCCTGATTCCTATTTTCATTGCTTCATAAATAAATTTTAGGCATATTATCTATCCTTTTTTTATCTTTATGTTATCTAAAACTATTCTTGACATTATTCCTTTGAGCTTTAGTGAACATATCAAGCACCTAATTTGAAGCATCTCAGTAAACATAAAAAAAAAATCCTTCTTCTTTGCCCTGCCTAACAAGCTTTTTTTTCCAAAGGGACACAAAACAATGTACTCTTCTATTTTTCAAAGTTGTTTGTATACAGCTGATTGACTATGAAGTACTGTTAGCAGAAACTGTACTAGGTTATGCCTTAGTGCTATAGACAAGAGTAACCTACCATTTCTGAAAGCCATACTGTAGTCTCATTATTTTATAGTCACAATTCATGTTTTATCTAAAGAAACTACTAAAACGTATATAGTTTAATCTAGATCAGATGAATCTAGAATGTGAGACAGTCTATAACACAATTGGACTGACCTTTTGGAAAAGAGAAAACAAAAAACAAAAAAGTACAGCAGTTTTATACTAGTTAGAAGAGACTAAAGAGATACTAATAAGCAAAGATAATATGAACCTTGATAGAATACTAGTTTTTTTGTTAATGTTAAAAAAAAAAGACTATAAAAACATTTGTCAACAATTAGGAAAATGTGGATATGAAGTATAATACTAATTAACACTAATTAATGTCAATTGTCTCAGGTATGATAATGGTATTGTGGTTGTGTAGAAGAGTATTCCCATCTTAAAAGATTCATATTCAAGTATTCGGGGGAAAAGTATCATGTCTACAACTTATTCCAAGTGGAACAATTTTTTTTTAAGTCTCTGTATTGTGTGTGTGTGTGTTTGTGTGTGTGTGTAACACATGGAGGAAAGAGGAGACAGTAAGCAACAAAGAGTCTGCAAGAAAATGCAAATGTGATGAGAAGTTAACAATAAATCTGAATAAAATGTACATAGGTGTTCATGGTATTTTTCTTTCATCTTTTCAGTAAGTTAAATATTCTCAAAAGAAAAAACTGGGGAAAAATATTTTAGAAAAACTACATAACCTGACCTTTACTTTCAAACAGGCTCACATAATGCCTAAATACATTTTATATTCTACTACCAGATTACAACCCCCTTATGCATATGAATGGCATCTTACTTGGAGTACTGACATATTTAAATTGAATCAACATGATAATAGTTATCTCTGTCATGTTTTGCCAACCTCTAAACCCCTATGCCACTGGAAAGAGTAGTCTTTCTAAAAACAAATCTCATCCAGTCACATCCTGTTTTAAATCATCAACAGCCACCCATAGCCTTTAGAATAAAACACAAATTCCTTAGTTTGGCATATAAGAGCCTCCAAAATCTGACCCTATCCAACCTATCTCCTATACTGAACTATATGCACAAGAAATGTGCAACTCTTTCTCTTGCTACTAAGCTTGGGAACACATTGCCCCCTTTGCTTAATATACCTATCTGCCTCCTTTTCTTAGATAACTTCATTCTTCAAGACTCAGCTCAGCATTGCTTTCCTCTAAGAGGACTTCCCTGATCTCAGATTAGTTTGAGTACCTCTTTTGTGCTCCCAGAGCAAACTTCAACTGGAGTACTTACAATAAACTATCACTTTTGGTACCTCCATAAGGACTGTTTATTTCAGTAGCCCCAGCAGATGACATATGTGAATAGAGACATAGAAGATTAGAACTGGAAATACATGCTCACTTTCCACGAACCTGTAGATGATGGACTCTGAATAATATCTGAAAGGTTATAACCTCCAGAACTATCTGAACGTTTACGTGGCTTCTTTTTAGCTTTTGTTTTTGCTTTCTTGAACATAGTTTCCCTAGGAAAAAGCAAACATAATTTCAGCAGTGTTTAGGGAGGTAACTAAGATAAATGCACTTATTTAACCCAACATGTTTAACCTGAAGGCTACTTTTTAAAATATTTACACTTTCAATGTGTTAGACCTACAGATATTAATTATGTATTTACTTTGTATTATACCAAGGTTAAGAATGAGCGTAACTACCTATTTCTTATGTCAGAATTTCTCAATTTCATCTTCCAATACCAACACAAAAGTGTCATATGTCCAAGATGAGAGTGAAGGGACACACTGGAGAAAAGAAGGAAGAAAAGGAGGAAAAGAAAAAAAAAAAAGAAAACAGCTTACGAATGATTTTGTTCCATATTTATTTCTTCTTTCAAGAAGATATCTCCATCTTCTACTTCCAAATAGCTAATATCTGGTCCATCTTGATATGGTGTAATGACTCTTCTATCCATTGCTGGAATCTGCAGAATTGAAGATATCACTTTTCAAATACAAAATCTGTGAAGTTTTTTTTTTTTTTTTTTTTTTTTTTTTGTGCACACGTGGCTCTTGCCATGTTGGCCAGGCTGTTTGGAACACCTGGCCCCAAGCAAACCTCCCATCTTGGCCTCCCAAAATGCTAGGATTACAGGCATAAGCCACCACACCCAGCCTAAAGATGTTTTTTAAATTATGTAAGATATTCCATTTTTAATATGTGGTGACATTAACTAGAACAGCCTTGAATACTCAATAACTTCCTAAATTTACAAGAGGGGGTTAAATTTTGATTCAATTCAATAAAAACTTTATTCCATAAACCTGCCAAAAAGGAAACTTGAGAAAAAGCTCCACTTTATTATTAAAGATAGATTTATTCATTTCTTAGGGATCATATGAATTCATGTTTTTGCACGGTCCTGACCTCTGGTAAATAACAAAAGACTTACTCTGAGGCTTTCAGTAACTTTCATTTATAAAGAAATTAATAAATATTAACTTTATTATTAAGTATCTTGAATTCTGATTATCATATGTATCTGTGAGATCTGTAAAGGAATCCTATATCATCAGTTTTAAAAGATCCTAATGTACTAGAAGTCATTAGGAAACTATTCCATTAATAAGTCTGATCTAATATACTGCTTAAGCTGGTAATATTATAGCCGCGAAAATCTTAAAACATAAACCTTACCATTTTCCGGTAAAACTCAGAAAGATCCTTCAAAACACCATCGCTTAAAACATCAAGAGACCTAAAATATAGGATACAAAATTCTATCTTAAGATTCAAGTGACTTGATAACTGTCAAGTTGCTTACATACGTAGATATTTCATATTGCTAGATAAGTAACAAAGTTATTTTTTAAGCATTATATATAGCAGTTGCTACAAATTCCTTTTGGAAATAGATGTGGTTGTATATTACATATTTCAAATAAACAGCAAAGCAAACATATTACACAAATATCTTGAATAAAACTCAAGCAACTCTTTTTTTTTTTCTTTTTTTGAGATGGAGTCTCACTCTGTCACCCAGGCTGGAGTGCAGTGGTGCAATCTCAGCTCACTGCAACTGCTGCCTCCTGGGTTCAAGTGATTCTCCTGCTTCACACCCTCCCAAGTGGCTGAGACTACCAGGCACACACAATCACGCTCGGCTAATTTTTGTATTTTTATTAGAGATAGGGTTTCACCATCTTGGCCAGGCCGGTCTTGAACTCCTGACCTCAGGCGATCCACCTGCCTCAGCCTCCCAAAGTGCTGGGATTACAAGCATAAGCCACCACACCCGGCCTCAAGCAACTATTATAAATAAATGTACAAAGAATCTTCTCTACTTCATAAGAGTTTCATAAAAATTAACTAAATGAATCTATGTAATGCTTTTAGAACACCGTCTAGCACATAGTTAATAGTCATTACTACTGAAGTAAAATATAAAAATAAACTAAACAATGAAGCTTTAAAATAAAAACTGACACCAGGAACTCTAATCTCAAATTTCTGTGTTCTCATATTGTCACCAATGACTTTATAGGAAGTAAAATATTTTGACCTTATATTTTTAAAAAAGTATACATTTATTTCATTTTAAAAAGATCACTGTTAAAAACATTCAAAAGTTTTCAAGAGCTCTCTAATTCTAAAATGTACATAACTTCTAAATCATCAGCATTGATCAAATTCTTTCCATCCAGGTAAACATCATTATTCACATTTAAATCACTAATAATATCTGCTATTATATATAAATATCTCCTTTTGCAACAATCTTACAACATATGCACCTCACCTACCTTGCTTCAAGTAAAGCTGCCATATTCAATCCTATAAACTGTAAACAAGACAGTTTCAACTGTTTTGCACTATACATTGCTGCAAATTCCAGTAGCATAGCAGCATTCTTCAGGGTAACTACAAAGAAAGAAAAGATTTGCAAAATTAGATAAAAGGCACATTACCACAGCAAAATAAAATACATTTATGTCTAAAGCTGTACGATTTGAACATTTGGAATAAAGAAAAAAAAGTTTCTTGCCAAAAATAAGTTAATACTGGGGCAAATATGTAACTCTTCCATCCCAATATGCCAAAGTAATTTCAAAAGATTGGCTATGAGGAAAAATAAGCTCACACACAAGCATATTCTAAGCAAAACAGAATACAGAAGGGGCATAGTGCCACCCAAAAGCAAACACATAAGAACTGACAATCTTCCACCTAACATTTTCTGAATATTTTTAAAAAGCTTTTATTAATGAACAACTTTCCTTTCCATTTACATAGCAGTTATTCCCTCTTCCATAAAACTAAAAAAGATATAAAACTAAGAAAAACTGATGAAATAATTCTATAAAATATATTGAGTTATCTATCAGAATTCATGTGGGTGTATATATATACATGTAAGTATATAAATATATACATATTTTGAAAATACGTACATCACAATCTTATCATAATATTCTTCACACCAGTGAAAAATCTGATATACTGTGCAAAAGATTCTGGATTTAGTTACAATTGTAGTAACATTATATATAAAGTACCCATTTTCCTAGAGACTCTCCCAGAATATTCTACCTACATAACAGGTAACTTTCAGCTTCCTGTTCCCTCCACTATTTTTCTTAATTACTCTATCAGTACCAGCCAATAGGGAAACACAGTTGTTTTCTACATCTGGCTTCTTGCATTTCTTTTTCTTTCTCACCTGTGATTCTATCAAAAGTTGCAACTGCAGTCAATAATGGTCTCTGTCTCACTCCTGACTAATCTACATTTTCAACTAATGATGAACAGAGAAATTGAAGAAATGATAAAATTAGATCATATAAAAACTTCTTTAGAGTTGTTCACATGGGAACAAGTATCCACATATTCCTAATAATCAGAGACCAAAGGAGGTGGTAGCCTCCTTTTCCTAGGTTCTAGGAACATCAAGGAATTAATAAAGGCAACTGTGCAGCCAGAGCCATGAAAGAACACTGAGGAAGAAGACCAGCAAAGGCAACTGTACAAGTGTAAAATATCACTTATATGTATGTCTTATACCTGTTGTATGCTGTGTCCTTTATTTTAGAATATTTTTCTTTTCTTGCTTAAAAGGAGATCAGGGCTGTTGTTCTCTATTTAATAACCAAGGAGTAGACAGTCTACAGTGCTCAAGAAAAGTGAGAACTAAAATGCCAAAGCCAAGACAAACTCCTAGCAAGTATGAACTAGAAAAAATGGACAGGAATTCCCTTCACACTTCTTGAAGTAGCAGTAAAGCAGAACAGATATAAGATTAGAAAGTCAAAAAGGCTGTCAGGTGGAAGCTAAGGAAAGTTAACCTTTATTCTAGAGTAAGCAATTATAAATATGTAAACAGGGGGAAGATGTAACTACTTCCTACAGAAAGCTTAAAGAAACAGAAGTAGACAGGAGAAAGAGCATTTAAAACACTACTGTGACACTACCCAGAAGGAACAGATAACAGTGACCTCAACTGCATAGTAACAGTGAGAACCCAAAGGTAGGGGAAATGTGACCAACATAGTTAAAAGGAATAAGTTTTGACAACTGAATGAATTTGAGTGTCAGGGCCAAAATAATAAAGAAAAACTCATTTTGGATTTCAAAGTACAGTGTTCAGGAGGATAGCCATGAAATTAACTAAGATAATGAAGAGAGCAAGAAAGAAGAGTTCAAGAAAAAAAGAGATGTGCTTTGTTCAGATATATAATGGGAAAGTTAAATTTTTAAAATCACTGCAAATAGTAGAAAATGGGTAGCTAAAAACACCTAAAGCCAAGATCAGGGCAAGAGTACAAAAATTTCACTTTTAAACTCTCACCCTTGAAATTAGCAAATAAATCTGACACCATCTTTATTCTTCAAGGTTTTATGACATTTCAATACAAATATTACATTTCAATTCTAAGTCATATATATTTTCACATATTTCTAAAATAAGAATTCACTTACAAATGATGGCATGTAATAATTTACATATTTTGGCAGGTTTTCGTGGTACCAAAAAAATGGTCTATTTTACCATAAGTGGAATCATAAAGTCAATAAAGTACAGTAATCCTTGATGAACCTGAAAACATATTAATATTCAAACTCAAAATTACTCACGTTTTTCAGTTAATGCTACTTCACAAATCTCTTTCAACCGGGTTATGAGAAGTTGATCAGCCACCACAAGAACACTACAAATAAAATCTACATTTTGAGATTCTAAAAAAAGAAAGAAAACAAGCATCACTTTTTCTTTGTATACATTATACCTAGAAAAAAAAATTTGAAGTAATTAGTACACTAGAAAAGAGATTTAAGTAAAAAAAAAATTTGAAGTAATTAGTACACTAGAAAAGAGATTTAAGATTATTTTCTAAATGTTGAAAGGGCAACCATAATAAAAAGTAAATACATCAAAATATATTTCTATTTTTTAGGTAGAAAGCTGACAAAATTACACCAAAATGTCTTGATCTCACACTAGGACCATAAAATGGCCAACTTAAATTGATCATTTCAGTCTAGAAGCCCACTAGAATGCCTGACTTGTTTATAATCTCCCATGTTGTTAGAAAAACACTTCTCAAGCTAATACAAAGAGGGAAAAGTCAAATCTCAGCATCACACTTAATATATAAAGGGTGGGGAAATAATGCTCTTATGCTTTCTTATTTAAAACAAAATTTGTCATCTAAGAGTGCTTTTTTGTAACTATTGGACTTCCTTAATTTAAAACAACTTTCTTGGGCCAGGTGTGGTGGCTCACGCCTGTAATCCCAGCACTATGGGAGGTGGAGGCAGACCGACCACTTAAGACCAGGAGTTTGAGACCAGCCTGGCCAACATGGTGAACATATCTCTACTAAAAATACACACATTAGCAGGGCGTGGTGGCACATGCCTGTAGTCCCAGTTACCGGGGAGGCTGAGGCACGAGAATTGCTTGAACATGGGAGGCAGAGGTTGCAATGAGACGAGATCACGCCACTGCACTCCAGCCTGGGCAACAGAGTGAGACTCCATCTCAAAAAAATAAAAAATAAAACAACTTTCTTGGTCCTCAGTACTACTAATGGCTTTTTGCCCCTGAGCCACTGCCAAAATAACAACATAAATTGAAAGAAAAAAATAACAGAGGAAGAGAGGAAAGGGAAAAAAAGATTAAGAAGAAAAAAATCTGACACAGAAAACAGCTTTAAAATATGAGACAAAGATGAAGTCACTAGGAATGACAGACTAAGAGCTTCTAATCCTCTCCTCTAAAAAAAAACAGACAACTGTGGAAAATTGTCATAATCAACTTTTCCAGAATTCTGGAAATCAGCCAAAAGCTTATAATAATCTAGGAAGTGTTTACTTAAGAAAAGCAGTTGAATCTTGTTAAGAACAGTGGGATTCAGGACACTGCAGCCTTTCCTGTTCAGATCTTCCTCTCCCCTCCTCCACAGCAGTACTGAAACCAACAGCTCCATAATCACAGGGAATCACATTGACAGCCTAGTAGCCACAGGAGACAGAACAGTTGTAGAGCAATAGTATCCTTATTTGACCTGTCTGCTAGTTCTCTGAAAATCCCACTAGAATGCTTATCTTTATTTGACCTGACATAAAGCTTGCCCAGTGACAACAGCCTTTTATACGGGGGCAAACAATTAGCAATAAGTAAAGTAAAGATATTGAATTAGTGATCAAAAAACTTCCTACAAAGAAGAGTCCAGGACCAGATGGCTTAATTGGTTAATCTGACTGAATATTTAAAGATGAATAATACAATTGATGAATTAATACAAGATAAATTGATACAATTCTCCACAAACTCTTCAAAAAGTAGAAGATGAAGAACACTTCCCAACTCAGACAAGGAGGCCAATATTATGCTGATTCTAAAAACAGACAGGGACATCACAGGAAAACTAAACCAATATCCCTTACAATTAAAGATGCAAAAATCCTCAAAAAACGCTAAGAAACTAAATCCAGTAACATATAAAAAGGAATTATACAACATGACCTAACAGAATAAATCCAAAACGAAAGGATGATTCAACATATGAAAAATCAATCAATATAATACACAAAAATAAAGTATAATAAACACACGGCCATCTTAAGAAACAGAAAAACATTTGACAAAAATCCCACACCCTTTCATGATAAAAACACTCAATAAACCAGGAATAGAAATAATCTTCCTCAACCTGATAAATGGCAACTACAAAAAACCCACAAGTAACATCCTAATTAATGGTAAAAAGGCTGAATGCTTTTTCCTAACATCAGAAACAAGACAAGGACAACCACTGTTGCCACTTCTATTCAACAGAGTACTAGAGATTCATCTAATCAGGGCAATTAAGCAAGAAAAAGAAATAAAGCACACCCAAATTGGAAAGGCATAAGTAAAACCATCTCTATTTGCAGATGACATGATCTTGCATATAGAAAATCCTAAGGAATCCACTAAAAAAACTACTAGAATTAGTGAACAAGTTCAGCAAGGTTGCAGGATATAAGATCAATATACAAAAATCAATTGTAATTCTAAACACTAGCAAAGGACAATCCAAAAATAAAATTAAAAAAATTTCCATTTAAAATAGCACTAAAAATTCTTAATAATTTTTAACTAAGAAAGAGCAAGGCTTGTACACTGAAAACTACAAAAATCATTGAAAGAAATTAAAGACTTAAATATATAGACTTAAATAAATGGAAAGACAGCTGGTGTTAATGGATTATAAGATTTAAATATTAAAATGACAATAATCCTCAAGCTGATCTACAAATTAAATGTGATTTGTATTAAAATCCCAGCTGCCTTTATTGCAGAAATTGGCAAACTAATCCTAAAATTCACATGAAAATGCAAGAAACCCAAAATAGCCAATACAATCTTGAAATAGCAGAACACAGTAGGAAAACTCACATTTCCCAATTTCACAACTTACAACAAAGCAATGGTAATCAAGACACTGCTGTACTGGCATAAAGAGAGTTCAGTGAAATAGAACTGAAGAGTACAGAAATAAAACTTTAAATTTATTGTCAGTTGATTTTTGACAAAGGTGCTAAAACAATTCAATGGGAAAACAAATGTCTTTTCAACAAATGGTACTCAAAAAATAGGACATACAGATGTAAAAGAATAAACTTGGACCCATAGCTCACAACAAATACAAAAAATAACTTAATAAGAATGGTGGTTACTAGAGGTCAGGGGATTAGGGTAATGGGAAGATATTGGTCAAAGAGTACAAAATTACAGTTATAAGATGAATGAATAAGATCTAGAGACCTTATATACAGCATGGCCACTACACTGATAATAATGTACTGCATACTTGAGATTTGCTGAAGGACTAGATCTCAAGTACTCTCACCACAAAAAAAAAAAAAAGGTAATTATGTGAGGTGACGGTTATGTTAATTAGCTTGATTGTGGTAATTATCTCTCTCTATATATATAAATATAGATATTATACATATATATATCTCAAAGCATCATGTTATACACTATGACTACATATAATTTTTACTTGTTAATTACACCTTAATACGACTGGGGGGGGAATTAACTCAAAATGGATCAAAGACCTACATGTGAGAGACAGAACTATAAAACTCTTAGAAGAAAACATACAGGGTAATCATCATGACCTTGGATTTGACAACGAATTCCTAGATATGACACCAAAAACACAAGTAACAAGTCAACATAGACAATTTGGACATCATGAAATGCCTGTAATCCCAGCACTTTGGGAGGCTGAGGCAGGAGGATCACTTGAGCCCAGGAGTTCCAGACCAGCCTGGGCAATATAGGGAGGCTCTGTCTCTAAAAAAATTTTTACAAATTAACCAGGCATGGTGGTGCACAGCTGTAGTCCCAGTTACTTGGGAGGCTGAGGTGGGAAGGATCACTTGAGCTCAGGACGCCGAGGCTGCAGTGAGCCATGACCATGCCACTGCACTCCAGCTTGCCCAATGGAATAAGACCCTGTCTCAAAAATAAAAAAAAATTAAGTTTTTGTTTTAAACGACACTTCATCAAGGAAGTGAAAACAACTCAGAGAAGGAGAGAAAATACTTGCAAATCATATATCCCATAAGGGACTAATATCCAGAATATATAAAGAACTCTTGCAACATTATAAAAAAACAAATAATTGAGAAAAAAAGTGTCCAAAGGATTTGAGTATGTATTCAAAGAAGATATACAAATGACCAAAAAGCATATGAAAAGATGTTCAACATCATTAGTCATTAGTGAAATACAAATCAAAACCACAATGTTGCATAACTTCACACCCGTTAGGATGGCTATAATAAAAAAGGTTGATATTAGTAAGTGCTTGCAAGGATGTGGAGAAACTGGAACCCTCACACTGTTAGTGGTTAAGTTAAATGGTACAGCTAGCCACTGTGCAGTTCGGCAGTTCCTAAAAAATTAAACAGATGACCCAGCATTTCCGCTTCTAGGTATATGCCCAAGAAAAATGAAAACATAGGCCCACGCAAAAACTTAGGCATGAGTGTTCACAGCAGCATGATTCCTAATAGACAAGAGGTAAAAACAACCCCAACATCCATCAACTGATGAATAAATGTGTTATATCCACACAATAAATATTATTTGGCAATAAAAAACAATGAAGTGTTGGTACCTGCTACAACACAGATAAATTTTTAAAACATCGTACTTAAGTAAAATAAGTTAAATATAAAAGGTCACATGTTGTTTGATTGTATTTATACAAAATGTCCAGAAGAGGCAAATCCATAGAGACAGAAAACATAATAGGGGTTTTCCACGGACTGGGGATAAGAGAGAGTGGGAAGTGTCTGCTAATGGGTACAAGGTATCTTTCTGGGGTGATGAAAATGTTCTAGAATTATACAGTGATGATAGTTGCACAAATTCATAAACATACTAAAAACTACTTATTGTATGCTTTAAAAGTATAAGTTTTATCATGCAAATAATTTCTCGATTTTTAAAAAGAATGAAAGTAGAGAAAAACATACCATGTCTCAGTTATCTTACTCTCAAGTATACAAATCTTCAGAAATTTTGTCCTCAGTTAAACTCTATCTCCTTACAAGACTACCCAGATTTCCTAGGCAGACTCAGAGGCTAGCTTCTTAAAAATGCATCTGCTTTTTAGAGAATTACTCTGTTGGATTATATTTGTTTTCTTATACATTTGTCTTCTCCACTAGATTGAGTTTCTTGAATATAAAAAAAGGTCTATCCACTTATTTTTATCCCCAGTATACAGCTGGGGTTAAAAAAAACTAATGGAATATGACAGAACATCCAGTACCATTCCAATGAGTAAACATATCTTGTAACTAAAAGTTACTGTTTTGCCTAACAAAGTACATAAATGACCTCTCTTCATAAATTTTGGTACAATTTTTAATCTGTTTCTTTCAAGATGTGTAACCACAAAGGGGAAAAACAGGTAAGAAAGAACTTATGTAAGTATTTGTCAAAACTATCCCTGTTGTCAATTCATTCATCTCCATCATAGAAGTAGCTGGAAATTGAACTGCTGAATCTAATTTCAACCATTACCTACAATTCCTTTTTTTTTTTTTTTAATGAAACGCTTCACAAATTTGCGTGTCATTCTTGTACAGGGGCCATGTAATCTCTGTATCATTCCAGTTTTAGTATACTTGCTGCCGAAGCAAGCACTAATTCTCAAAGAGTTCATTTTCACATGGGTAATGAAAACCTTTTTCTGCTCCTTTACTATTAGCAATCATTCCTATTGCTTATTCTAAATTAAGCCTTTATTGGCCAGGCATAGTGGCTCACGCTATAATCCTAGCACTTTGGAAGGCCGAGGTGGAATAATCCCTTGAGCCTAGGAGTTTGAGACTAGCCTGGGCAACATAGTAAGACCCCGGTCTCCATAAATAATAAAAAATAAATTAAATATTTTAAAAATAAAATAAATTAAGCCTTTATTGATGGTTTTTTTCTATTAGAAATTAAGATTCACGTTGATTTTACCATTATTCCATTATATGTGAAGTATCTACAATGTCCTAACTCTTATTAATACCTTTTATCACCACAGCTTCATCAGTATAGAGGTAGTCCAAAATAACTTTTAATATATCAGAATGTATTGGCATTTCCAGAGCTGCACAACTGGAAGCCTAAATAAAATAAGACAAAATAAAGTAAAATAATTCATTCTAAACAATAAAATATTACATTCTAATTTGGGTTATTGGTACAAAACACTCTGAACAGGAAATCACATCAAATGCAAAACATAAAATTTACAAAACACATGGCTAAAATAATATTAAATTTAATTTTAAAACATAACATGAAAAAGGAACAAAAAAATTCAGAAAACAAGAAACACAGTGGTGTTCCTAATACATTTCTAAATAATAACGGGGAAATTTTTATTTAAGTAGCTTCTTGGCAATAATTTTAAATTCTAAGTGTTGCTATTTTCCAGCAGCCTCAAGCATAAAGTTTAATATAAATGAAAAACTGAGCTAAAATATCCAGTTCTGATTTTGAATTTCTTTACTACATACTTTGCACAAAATATAAAGAAACATAGTTACCAACCTAGGCGCTTTTTACTTAAATCTTACCTCAATCCATGAGCTACTCAGCATACTATGAAAATATTCTAAAAGAAAAAAAAGTTCAATGCAATAAGAATAGTGAAACAATACTACAGCAAATAAATCAGCAGCTTTAAAAAGTGCACCTACCAAGTCTAGCACAAAGAACACATTTATGACAAGGAAATTCCTTTCCATCCACTGATTTCATGGTCACGTCACACAGAAATGAACTGCAAGAAAATGTTTAATTGAAGCAAGAGCAATTTCTTTACATATTTAGTGAAAAAGATTATAGGATTTGGCTTAACTTTCAGTTTTCTCTTAAAGGTGGCAGAGAATAAATAACTTGCAGGAATACATACAATAAAATACTTCATCTTTTTCCACCACAGGGAAGATAAGGGCCTTAGAGTAAAGACAATATTTGAAAAGGGAGCCGAATACAAATATTCAAAAAGTATTTTTCTGATTTTCCTTTTTTTTATTCCAGAAAAACTGTTAATAATATAATACTAAGTGATATCATATTTAAGTCTCTGTAATTCACTTATTTGTAGTAGCTAATCTGGGCCAAGCACAGTTGAAACAACTCCACAGTTTATCCTTCTCCAAAACCTTTTCACTTACAGAGGAAGCATGAATAGCTAAAAACAAAACTTTTTTTTTCTTTGAAACGGGGTCTCGTTCTGCCACCCAGGCTGGAGTGCAATGGTGCAATCTTGTCTCACTGCAACCTCCGCCTCCCGAGTACAAGTGATTCTCCTGCCTCAGCCTCCCAAGTGGCTGGGATCACAGGCACCCGCCACTATGCCCGGCTAATTTTTGTATTTTCTTCGTAGAGACAGGATTTCACCATGTTAATCAGGCTCTTGACCTCAGGTGATCCACCTGCCTCGGCCCCCCAAAGTGCTGAGATTACAGGCGTGAGCCACCACACCAGGCCCTAAAAACAAAACTTTTTAACAATATATTTAGAATAGTATATTTATTACTAAGAATTTTTTATACTAAAGGCAATAATCATAACAATGATGAAGAGGTATAATTAATTGGTTTGGGGGCTAATAACATTTCCTAATTATAACAAGGCACAAAATTCAGGCAAGAAAAAATAAAAATTAAAAGTTCCACTCTCTATTAGAAAGTCATCGGAAAGAAAAAACTCCTTTGATGTCTTCAGCAGTTAATATTTTATCAATTTACTTCAACAGCTCCCCAACATTTCCAGAAATGCAGAATACTAGAAAAGGTAAGAGGGTATCTACCTATACATTTTGCTTCATATGTGGGTAAGCAGAGATCTATTTCCACACTTAAGTGCCAAAATCCAGACATGAAATGTTAATCTTCCTTTCCTTACTTACCATTTTTTCTGACTTAGCTTCAGTTTATTACCAGTGTTCTTGGCAATAACATTAATTTTTTCATTTTCAAATCTGACTCCATCTAACCTATCAAGGATAGATAAAAATTAACAATTGATATTCCCCTACAAAAATAAACATACAACAAAAAATCCAACAAATTAGCTTACATCTAAATATAATACTGTATCCTAGAAAAGTATCTCAACAAACTCCTACTCTGAGATAAAGAAATATCATACTTTTTCTTCCATTTTAGTTAGAATTCAAAATAGATTAAACATTACTGACAAAAGACAAATCAAAGCCATAGCACAAAGTTTTTCCTTTTTTTTTTTTGAGACGAAGCCTCGCTCTGTTGCCCAGGCTAGAGTGTGGTGGCATGATCTTAGTTCACTGCAACCTCCACCTCCCAGGTTCACATGAATCTCCTGCCTCAGCCAACCCAGTAACTGGGACTACAGGCATTCACCACCATTCCCGGCTAATTTTTGTAATTTTTTGTAGAGACAGGGTTTCGCCATGTTGGCCAGCTTGGTCTCAAACTCCTGACCTCAGGAGATCTGCCCACCTCAGCCTCCCAAAGTGCTGGGATTACAGGCGTGAGCCACCGCGCCCGGCCCCTTCATTATTTTTAAACAGGAAACACGATACACACCCCTCCTCTCTTCCCACCCTACAACGAAGGTTTAACTGCCACAAGCAACATAAATACCTTAAAAAAAGAAAGAATTTCAAATAATCTGATTCATAATATGATACTATGGTGTTAGGCAATTTACATATGACAAAACCATATCAACAATATGAGGCAAATATTATCTTTCCCATTTCTTATATTGAGAAACTGAAGTAAGAAGGATCGCTTGAGCCCAGGAGTTCGAGAAACTGAGGTAAAAGAAAATTGTCCCAGCCAGGAATAGTAAAGCTAAGAGATATGTATGTCTAACTTGAAAGACCTTTCCAGCATACCACATTGCCTGCCACTCCAGATCCCTGTTACATACACAAACCAGAGTTCAAACCCACCAACAGCTTTCCTATCCATTAATGTAATCCAAGAAGTCCCAGAGATAGCTCTGCCCGCAAATGGAGGAAAGACATATCCATGTACCTCCCCAAAAAAAGGATGGGTAGGGAGAAAGGGAGAGAGAGGAAGAGGAGGGGAAGGAGAAAGAGAAGGGGATGGAACAAGTGGGAGGAGACTTGGGGAGGGGAAAGAAAAGCAAAGCAAGGCAAAAAGGGTGGGATTTTTTTTTTTTTCTTTGAGACACAGTCTCGCTCTGTCGCCCAGGCTGGAATGCAGTGGCGCAATCTCGGCTCACTGCAAGCTCCGCCTCCCGGGTTCAGGCCATTCTCCTGCCTCAGCCTCCTGAGTAGCTGGGACTACAGGCGCCCGCCACCACACCCGGCTAATTTTTTGTATTTTTAGTAGAGATGGGGTTTCACAGTAAGGGTGGGAAATTTTTTAAAGGAGGACTGAATGAGGTACAGGAACAGATATAAAAGAGAAATCATACCTACTACTCAAATTACTGAAGTCGAATTTCTTTGCAACAGTTTGCAACATTCTTACAGGATCATCTTCCCTAATATTTTTTCCTTTTTTACAAGATTTAGGTTTGCTCTTCTGCCTCTCACTAACTGTTTGAGCTTGATTACTTTTGTAAACTTCAAATGCAGACTTCTGGTTATCATCTTCATGGAAATTCACTTTATTCAAATGAGAATTCAGAGTTCCCTGATATTCTTCTGGGTTTTTGTTTAAGTGTATTCTTGGTTTGAAGCCATGAGTTAAAAAGTCACAAGTATCTGTGTATATAAATTGTAAAAGGTATTCAAACATGTCAGGATGAACCTTCTCTACCACAAAGAGATGGCACCCTGCAGAATCTTCATCTTTCTGGTAAATATCTGTAAATTCTGAAGTATTACCATCTGAAAGAAACAATTTCTGAAAAAAATCAGAATGCACTGCCAAAATATATTTATGTGCAGGGAAGAGTCTATTGCCAACTTGAAATGTCACATCATGAATGCTGTCCATTTCATCTGCTTCCCTCAACAGTTTGCCAAACTCTTCAAAAAAGGATGATGAGGACACAGCTGGAATTTCATAAAGGCTAGAAAGAAGACAAAAACAAATTATGCTTCAAAAAATATGAAGGAAATCCTTTTTCATACCTAGCCAATTCTCCTTTAAAATGCAATTTTTTTAACAATATTTAGAAAATTTTAAATTTGGCATTTCCTAAAATACAAGAATATTGCACAAAGTCCTAGATGCTATATCATCCTTTAATTTTTTTCTATTCCTTTTTATATTTATATTCTATTCTTCTCTCAAATTAAAATGATAAGAACTAAGTTGTCCGTATCCCTGGTTCTTACAGTACTGTGGGAATGCAATTACACCTTCCCAACCAACATTTCACCCTTCTCAGTAGGAAGACCAACCCTCCTGTGGTTTGCCTTGGACTGACGAGTTTCTCAGATGAGACTTTCAATGTTAAAACTGGGGCAGGCCTGGGCAAACCAGGATGGATGATGACCCTACTTGCAGAATTTCCTCCCTCTTCAACAGTACCCTTGATGTTTATCTTAATCTGATACCTCTCTGCTTATGTGACTTAGGAGATTTGCATTGCGATTTACAGATGGCGCCACAACACTTATTTTGCCAATTCTCATCATATTCAAGGGTCAGAAATCTTTGCAAACTGCCTAAGAAATATTTATAATACATTTTTCAGAATCTGAGAACCCAGGGTACATCATACAGTATGAAAGACAAATAAGGCAGGGTGCGGTGGCTCATGCCTGTAATCCTAGCACTTTGGGAGGCCGAGGCTGGCGGATCACCTGAGGTCAGGTGGTCAAGACCAGCCTGGCCAACAGGGCAAAACCCCATCTCTACTAAAAATACAAAAATTAGCTGGGTGTGGTGGCGGGCACCTGTAATCCCAACTACTTGGGAGGCTGAGGCAAGAGAACTGCTTCATCCTGGGAGGTGGAGGTTAGAGTGAGCCGAGATTTTGCCACTTAGCCTGGGCAATAGAGCAAGACTCCATCTCAAAAAAAAAAAAAAAAAAAAGAAAGACAATAAACTTTGTGAGTGCATGTATAGATATTTTCAATATTTTCAATAAATGTCAGTTTATAAACCAAAGGAAACATTCATCACTCCAAGTATAACAAATTCTACCTCTGGATTATCTGTAGACATAATCTGTAAACATGATTATGTCTAAGGTCTCTATAGGTCTTGGCAACAGCTCTTCAATTAAATTTGCACCAGCAGCTACTGAAAACAAGAAAATTCAGTGATTGTTCCTTCTAAAAAATGAAATTTAATATATACAAGTATACCTTGTTTTAGGATCTGACTGCAGGATTGCAAAGTTGCATCCACTTGGATCTGTGCTGACACTAACAGCTCTATGTGCAAAGGTAAGTTTCTCAAGTCGAATTCTTTCATACACACTATTTATATCAGAGACATAAGACACATCTGATGAGGAATTGTGAAGGTTTGATAAAATCTCTGTTAAAAAAAAATAAACTACCATTAATCAAGGCTTTACTGAAACTACTAAAATGATTGAGAAGTAAATGGAATAGAAAAGGAGTTAGAAAAATATGGAAATCTTTTTCACATATATTCAGTGTTTTTGAAGAACTACATCCTCTCTTCAACACATTTTCCACTGAATATATTGGCTGTATTATACAGGAAATTTTTGGTGGATGGATTCTCAATTATCCATGATTCCATCTCTTTCAACAAACACATCCTCCATACTGCAACCAAAGTTCCCTTTCTAAAAAGCAAATCTAGTGTCATACTAGCTTTTAAAACTTTTCAACTTATACTTCCTGTTGCCCAAAGGGAAAAAAATTCTTCAACTTGGATTAAAAATATATAAATCTACTGTCTTCATAATCTGCTTGTTTATTTGCTTCCTCCCTTTCTCTTCCCCCTTTCTTGCATGTATTCAGAAAATATGTGCGTAACCAAACTGGGCTACTATGATATCATCAGTCTGGTGATATAGTAGTGAAGAAGACAGACATGTGCCTGCTCTCCTCGAGTACACAATCTAGCAGGGAAGACAGACATTACACAAATGATTATATCATTACAAGTAAAATCAAGGCTATGAAGGTAAAGGATATAGTGCTTCCACAAAGATATGAAATTTACATGAATGAAATGATTCTGGTTGTAGTGTGAAGAATGTTTAAGGTAAACAAAGAATAGATAAAAAGAGGCCATTTAAGGAATTACTGTAAATCCAGGAAAAGAATTAAAAGATGATATAGACTAGGTTGTAGCAATGAATCTGGAAAAAAGTGGAAAGATATAAGAAACATTTGAGAAAGAGAACAAAACTTGATGACTGATTAATTCTAGTGTAAGGGAATCTGAGTGTCAAAGATAATAATTTACAGAAATAGAAAACACTGAGAAGCAGAAGTTAGAGCATGAAATCATGAATTCAGTTTCAGATCACTAAATATGACTAAGACACACTTCTAAAGACTTCCATAAGTTGAACCTACGTTCTAGTTACTCCCACAAATTAACTCTATTTTAGTCTTATGAGGCTTTACTAATCTTCTCTGACACTCAGTCATTCCAATTTCTATGCTCTCAAGAAACTTATTATGTGGATATTAACATTAGTCTCAGTGAACTGCAAATATTTACATACATGTCTATTGCCCCTACAAGCCTATGAGTGCCTCAGTATAGAGGCCCATTTTATATATTCTTGCATCTTTAAAACTTTCCCCTATATCTGGCACATAGTAAATATATATTAAATGTTTACAGACTTGAATAATCTATAAAGAAATAAAAGAAATACAAGTAAATCATTAAATTTTACAAAAGTCATTTATCTGTGGCTTTATGATTTTGAAGAATACGTTTATAATTTTCTGAGTAATTATAAACATTCTTGATTTTGTTCTGGCACACAATAACTGAGTTATTCATACAACAGGTGATTTAATGAGTGACTACAATGCGCCAGGAAATATGCCAAAGGCTAAGGATATAGACGAATATTCATGGCCCTTGCCATCACTAACCTTACACTCTAATAGGAAACAGGCATTAAAAAACTAATCACAAAGATAAATACATAAAAGTAAAACCTAATAACACTTGTCAGTTGAACCTAATACTTGTCAAATTAAAGGATAATTGAAAGGTACTTTTACGTATTGTTCAATATATGAACTGACCTTTCTTTTCAGAACTCTTTCTTTTCTCTTCAAACCATCTCCCTCTAAATCCTTCTCCATCTTGCGTAACAAATAGAATTTCATTTCTATTTAAAGCAATATCAGAAATGAAGACCTGACGTGGATAGGCCCATCGACACTGCTTCAGAGAACTGTTGACTGATCTCCAGCAAAACACCTAAAACAAAACCAAATCACATTGAAATATAAAGCAAGTAGCATTTGAACAACCAAAACCTTAAATCAAGATATCAAGAGACAATGCTGTTAAAATAAAAGCTCTCATTAGTATGTTTCAATGTTTATTCTTCCACAGAAAAAGATAGCTACTATAAGAAAAATCAAGATGATTTTAAAGAAATATCTTTCAGAAAAGTATATTAAGCAAGCCTGAAGCATTAGAAATTATTTCAAAGGCACTCCTCTTAAGAAGTAGCAATTTCCAGTATTACCTGTTTAGGGCAAACAGATGTGCTACAATGCTAAAGAAAAACAAAATCTTAAAGCTACAACTTACAAGTCAGGCTTCTTGTAGTACTATCTCTTTACAAGAAGAATGAGCCCCCTATGAAAATCCAAACTTTACTCTCAAGAAAAAAGTAAATGTATGCATAACTCAATTATATAACTAAAACAAAATCTTAGAAAAGTCATTACAGAATTCAATGGTTGTAAATGGTTCTGCAAACCTCAGAGTCCCTGAAAAGTAGCTCCAGGGGACTTGCTAAGGGATGGAGAATGATGAGAGATGGGGTGTCAGGCTTCCCAATCCACAGTAGCAATTGTTTTATCTGTTTCATATACCGGTATTCCAAGCACAATTTCATTTGAAAAATTGGAACTGCTGATTTTTAAAAGTCCAATTCCCTCATAATCAAGTTAAGAAAACTAGAACACAAAATGGTTATCTGACAAGGTCGCTAAAAAGTTATTCACACAAAAAGACTATACTGATTGAGACTGACTGATGCTTTCAGAGCTTGGTTTTCTTAATGAGACTCTATTTTGCAGGAAGTAAATATCCAGAAGTATAAGCTATATCCATTTCAATGTAAGTGATACACATCCCAAAATCAAATATAAGTTTTTATACTCAACTCT
This sequence comes from Homo sapiens, assembly GCF_000001405.40. Classification (NCBI taxonomy): domain Eukaryota; kingdom Metazoa; phylum Chordata; class Mammalia; order Primates; family Hominidae; genus Homo; species Homo sapiens. The sequence continues at coordinate 78,673 of NW_013171802.1, forward strand.
TTTATGTAACCCCATTTGTTTCCTTCCACTAGTACAAACTGGAGCTCTAATTCTTTTTTTTTTTCCTTCAACTTTTAAGTTCAGGGGTACATGTGCAGGATGTGTAGGTTTGTTACATAGGTAAACGTGTGCCATGGTGGTTTGCTGCACAGAGCATCACATCACCCAAGTATTACGCCCACCATCCAACAGCTATTCTTCCTGATGTAGAGCTCTAATATTTAAACCTAGTTACTACTATTAAAATCATCTTCATTCTCCATCCCTACAATATATGCCTATAATGACCCAGTATGTGGAGCTTTATGATTAATTCCTCAATTTCTAAAATGTCAAACTTTACAGCACATTATAAACCTCGGAAAACATTATTTTAATTTGATAAGTAAAACCAGAAAGTTATCTGTGTTCTTCTACCCATACTGTGTGTTTTTCAGTATCATTAGTGTATGATATATACCTTTAAATATAATTTTTAAAATCTAAATATATTATTTAGAGATGGCTCCCACCCTCCCACCCCTCAAAAACAATTTAGAGATGTATTTTATATAATATATAAATACATTAATTGAAGCATATATTTCAGAAAATAATCTTTTTAAATATTTTAAATTAATAATTTTATTAGAGAAATGTACTGATATGTTTGCATAAGGAACTAAAATTAGAACTTTTTATTTAAGAGATAAGAAATTCCTTATACACTAGTGATCCGGAAATATTTCATATATAATGTGGATAGTTATAATGTATACATATATTATAATGCATACATTTGTATAAAACTAAATATGGAAAAAAATTTCCAACTATGCACCAAATTTATCATATTGCCTGATCTTTACTTTTTTAACAGTTACATGAGGCCAGGCGCAGTGGCTCATGCCTGTAATCCCAGTACTTTGTGGGGCTGAGGAGGGCAGATCACTTGAGGCCAGGAGTTTGAGACCAGCCTGGCTAACATGGCGAAACCCCGTCTCTACTAAAAATACAAAAATAAGCCAGGCGTAGTGGCACATGCTTGTAATCCCTGCTACTCAGGAGGCTGAGACATGAGAATCGCCTGAACCCAGGAGGTGGAGGTTGCAATGAGCCGACATCATGACACTGTACTCTAGCCTGGCCAATAGAGCGAGACTGTCTCAAAAAAAATAAATAAATAAAATTATAGTTACATTACATATCTTATATTTACGCAATTCAGTGTCATTTATCAGTATTCAGTGTATACACCAAATAACATCAAAATCTCTTTTCATTTTAAGCACAATAAAATTTTTGATTACAGTTTAACAAATCAGTATTGTGCAACATTAGATTAAATGCTGTCTGTCATACTTTCTCTAAATCCCACCTCCATACTAATTAGTAATGGATGTCTAAAACATACTTATTTTGGCACCCAATACTAATCATCAAAGTCAATAGGAATTGTCACTAACATAGCAATACATTTTCATGTTACCAGGTCTGCTACAGCTATCAACTGAGAGTAAGATTACACTTTTACATAAACATGTACTTACCCTTCCAGCTCCATCCATTGCAAGAATGCAAATTTTTTGACCCCCATTTTCTTTCAAATGTTCAGGATCAACCTTGTATTCCATATGACCCCCAGACACAAGAACTTTTTTCAAGTTCAACTGTCTAGATGAAAAAAAAAAAAATCCTAGATTAATATGTTCTCTAAACTACACATGCCTAAACTTCAAAGAAGTTAGTATTCAAACAACAATCTATAGGCAATTATTGTGAAGGTGAAGTAAAATGATTTGGTCTTTGGTATCTCTAGCCTTCCATTCTGTAAATTTCCCCTACAAGGGGGCTGTTCCTTTCTATGTCAAGTCTTTTTCTCTTAAATGACTTTACCTACACACACACACACACACACACACACACACACACACACACACATTAAATGCCTGAAGTTCCACCTGCTAATTCAAACATTCACTCTGGAGTTTAAATAACTGGTATGGGCTGGGTGCAGTGGCTCCCGCCTGTAATCCCAGCACTTTGGGAGGCCAAGGCCGGTGGATCATTTGAGGCCAGAAGTTCGAGACCAGCCTGGCCAAAATAGCAAAACCCTAGCTCTACTAAGACGAAAATCAGCCGGGCATGGTGATGCGCCCCTGTAGTCCCAGCTACTCGGGAGGGTGAGGGAGAAGAATCACTTGAACCTAGGAGGCAGAGGTTGCAGTGAGCAGAGATCACACCAGTGCACTCCAGCCTGGGTGATAGAGAGAGACTCTGTCTTAAAAAAGTAAATAAATAATAAATAAATAACTGGTATGGCTATAAGCTCCTAAGTGCATCTCTATTTTAACAGAAAAGACAAATTTTAAACCTCAAAATTAAATAGAAATGCTTAATTTAAAAAATGGCTAATCCTAAACAGATATTGCTACCATGAAAATCATCTGTACTGCTATTCAGTAACTCATTCATTAGCTACACATTTCATTATATCTGCACATTTGATGTGCATAGCATTATGTGAAATCTGCCTGCTGCTACTCCAATGACTGTCCTCCCTTTTAAATTAAAGGAAAAAAAAATTTTCAAAATTACTATATTGTATAACTTAATCTGTAACAAAATAATTTCCTTAATGTACTCTTGGATATAACATATTTATGTGATTTAATGTTATATAGGCAAGTTTTATAAATGTTAACTAAAAATACAACTCAACATCTTACATATCACCTCAAACTCAGGAAAAAACCTATTTAGTCAGTTTTAAGAAACATATTCACATTTTCATGTTTCTATCACTAAAATATAACCTAAAATTGAAGTCAAAAGTAACTTTCTGCCAGGTGCAGTGGCTCACGCCTGTAATCCAAGCATTTTGGGAGGCCAAGGTGGGCGAATCACCTGAGGTCAGGAGTTCGAGACCAACCTGGCCAAAATGGAGAAACCCCATCTCTACTAAAAATACAAAAAAAATTAGCTGGGCATGATGGCAGATGCCTGTAATTCCAGCTAATCGGGAGGCTGAGGCAGAAGAATTGCTTGAAAACCTGGGAGGCGGGGGTTGCAGTGAGCATAGGTCACATCACTGTACTTCAGCCTGGGCAACAGAGCAAGACAATGTCTCAAAAAAAAAAAAAAAAAGTAATTGTTACTCAAAGAAGGTAAGTTTTTACAAATTGATAGACATTTTCTGCTCATGAGTAACTTCATGGATGGTACCTGTTTTACATTATCAAAAGCATTTTGTTGCATTTAAATTTAAATCCCCAATTGTTTTAAAAGTTAGATAGCTATTCTCCAGAATTCCTGTACACAACTGCTCCCACTAGTTGAGCTATCCACTTTCAAGAATCATTTATATTTGTACAATGACCTATTTAAGTACTTGTATTTTTTTAAACTAATAATGTATATATTTATAATGAATTTATCACAGTAAAATACTATATAAATGGTAACATATTAGTCTGAAACCTGTCTATAGAAGTTGAATACTTTGGAATGGCACAATAAATATGAGCAGCAAAAAACTGTCAAACTAATTAATCAATTATAAAAGATTCAAAATGTATTAAAAATGTACAATTCTGCACTTACATTACTTCACAATTGTTTTTAAGCACTGGTTCCTTAAATCATTCAAAATGAAATGACAGGTGACACATTATGAGTATGGTTTATATGAAAACACAGGGAATTCCAGTTGGTGCACCCACCCATACTTAAAACTTTATGAAGCTGGGCGCAGTGGCTCACATCTGTAATCCCAGCACTTTGGGAGGCTGAGACAGGAGGGACGCTTGAACCCAGGAGTTCAAGACTAGCCTGGGCTACAGAGCAAGAACCTGTCTCAATTAAAAAAAAAAAAACAAAAACTTTATGATTCTTTGCTTTGACTTGACTAGTCAACCAACTGCTACTTTACTGCATTCTATAATAACATGTTTTTTTAAAAAATATACTTATCAGTTATAAACACTAAGCCTGGTTAGAGGGCTCATGATATATGATTATATTCTAAAGATAAATAAATGTATAATGTAAAAAAGGCTATACAGGAACCAATGATGAGAGTGTCACGAATCAAGAATTATGATTAATCTATTTCTGTGCACCTAAAATACAAAAAAAGAAAAAAATATATAGCTCATATTTAACTACATATTAAACATAATTCAGAAATACCACTTTACAATTTACACAGAAATTTTATATATATTCACTGGATCCATGCCAAAAGACAAAAATCAAAGACAAAAATTCCTGATGTTTTTCCTCATTCAATTTTTTCCATTTGACATTTATAGAACATAGCATAAAGCTAACACTCAGATATTTGCTGGAAGAGTTGAATTATTATTAAAATTACGTTTCTTTCACAGAAATACACATACTTAGAAGCCATCTTCTTGCACTGATAGTCTGCAAGTAAGTAAATATCTCCCCTTGTGGTAACACAGACTGTAGCTCCATCACTTGCAGCAACCAAAGACAGAGCAATGTCTTTATGGTGAAGGGCAGAGACCTGACGAGGAGCAGTTACACACTTTTCTCCATTGGGATCTAGCAAACAACCTAAAAAATGATACAAATAAGCAAATCACAAAATAGCTCTTTTAAGAGTCCTATTTAGCCAAGCACAGTGTCTCATGCCTATAATCCCAGCACTTGGGGAGGCCAAGGTGGGCAGATCCCTTGAGCCCTGGAGCTCGAGACCAGCCTGTGCAACATGGTGAAACCCCATCTCTACAAAAAATAGCCCAGCATGGTGGTAGGGGCCTCTGGTCCCAGCTATTCGGGGGGCTGAGATGGGAGGATCGTTTGAGCCCAGGAAGTCAAGGTTTCAGTGAGCTGTGATCGCACCCTGAACTCCAGCTAGGATGACAGAGTGAGACTTTGTCTCAAACAAACAAACAAAAAATCACTCATAATCTCATTCTAATCAATAAAAATTAAAAAGAAAAGATAATTTTTTAAAGAGTCCAATTTAATTTCCAGATATTGTCATTAAGGATTTCTTACCCAGTTGTCCACCATTTAGTCCCATAGTGTAAACAGCTTCTCTAGTCCATAGGACTGTATGAAACCTGCCTGCTGCAACGCCAATGATTGTCCTTCCTTTCAGATATTTTGCCTGTATCTATTTAAAGACAAATAAAACTGCAATTTACTATATATTTATGACCTAGTACAATTTTTTAAAGATCCAGCAGACCAGCAAATATATGGTATACTTGCTGTTAGTGGTCCACTCAAGTGCAATTGGCAGTTGTCACTAACAGATCTCAGCACTCATACTAAGACCTGAATCCTTCTCGGAACACAAAACATTGTGATGCAGCCACTTTCAGTCAGCAGTTTTAACATATAGAAAATTGACATGGTGTAAGAATCAAATTATTAAACTTTTAGCTATTTTTCTTTTTCTAACAAGCAATATGCAAAGCAGCCAGTCTCATTCTTAATAGAAAACACAGTGCTTCTAAATTAGATATTTCCATGGTCTCTCAATAGTGGCATTATTGACATTTTGGGCTAGATGTTTTTTTGTCGTGCGATTGTCCTGTGCACTACTGTGCACCTTCTGGAGATGGCTGTGCACATGAGAGTAAAAAAGTAGAATAAAGAATACTGGTTTTTGGACCCATGTCCCCTAACATCAACTTGTCACGTGTGATATCTGTGCAGAGGCAGATTTACTGAAGCAAATAAAACTTAAGTCTCTGAGTTCCTCACTTGCATGAACCCATTTGGTATTGATAAATTTCATATTTTTTCTTATGGAGGGCCTAAAAAGTGTTTAAGTTTCAAATCCAAAATATCTGGACCTCCCTTTGCTTATGAAGACTTAAAAGATGCAGTTTGGTGGCTAATCTCCCAAGTGCAGAATTTCCCAAGTGCTTTCTTTCTTACTCCAAACAAATGCTAATATGTACTATGCTTAATTTCTCCTGTTAAAAATAAAGACAACAGGCTGGGTGCAGTGGCTCACACCTGTAATCCCAGCACTTTGGGAGGCCGAGGTGGGCAGATCACCTGAGGTCAGGAGTTTGAGACCAGCCTGGTCAACATGACAAAACCCTCTCTACTAAAAAATACTCAAAAAAAAAAAAAATTAGCCAGGCATGGTGGTGTGTGCCTGTAATCCCAGCTACTCAGAAGGCTGAGGCAAGACAATCGCTTGAACCCGAGGGGCAGAGGTTGCAGTCAGCTGAGATCGCACCACTGCACTCCAGCCTGGGCAACAGAGGAAGACTCTGTCTCAAAAAATAATAATAATAATAATAAATAATAAAGACAGTATATACCACTGAAGATAAAGTTAAATAACAGAAATAAAATAAGTTGCTCTGTCAATAACTTACATTTTTTTGTTCATACAGGTTTTATTGCAAATGTAAAACCTTATTATTTAAAAGAGTAAAGCTTACCTGTCTGGGTACATTACAACTGGAAGGCGGTGGAATAATTCCTAATTGATGAAAAATGTTTAGACCAAATGTATAAACACATCCATCTTCAGTTAATACAACAGTATGATCCTTAGCAGCTGCCACTTGGGAACAATTATGACCATTCAGTCCTTCCACAAGCCGAGGGACCTACAAAATAAAATTAACTTTAGTATACTACATTAACCATTTATACAGATATGCAAATAGAATTTGATGATACTACATCTAAAATGACATGAAATGACATGACTGATACATGGCTGTATCTATCATAGGTAAATTCTACATTTCAGCAAAGGGTAGATGAGTTTAAAAGGATATGGTTGTAAGTTTATGAGCAAAATACATAAGCCCAGTAAGACATTCCAGTGAAATAATTCAATTCAACAAATGATTTTTGAGCCCTTACCAAGTGCAAATTTGTTTGGTATGAATAAAGGGAGCTCATCAAAGTATACACGGGTACATTGAAAAAAAAACAAAAATACAGAATCAATGTTTCCCTTCGGGGAGTAGCCAAACATATAGTATCATATTCCTTTGGAGTCATTTATCTGTCCTGGGTTCAAATCTTACTTCTGTCACTACCTATTTGATCTCAAATCAAATTTCTTAACCTCTCTGTACCTCATTTTCTTCATCTGAAAACAGTAATCAGTCAATAAACGATTGCTATTATTAGTGTCATCATCATGCATAAAATGAAGATAATACCTGTGCCTCACAGGGCTGTTGTGAGGCTTAAGGTAATATTATATATGAAAAGCATAAACAATGCTTGGAACAAAATAAACCCTCAAAAATGGAAGCTATTATCATTATAGCTTTCCCTCTTTTTAAAAGCACCATTTAATAGATAAGTATATCAGAAGTCCCCACAAAAAACATCTTAAAATAACGTAGTGAACCAATTTTCTGATAGGTAATGTACTAGGTCTCTTCTAATTAGCACTAAGTTTCAGTAGCACAAATATAAATTTTGTGACTACATAATGAAAATACTGGCTCAATTTTTAGACCACAGAAATCTTAATGAGAAGTTAAAAACAAAAACCAGAACTACTTCAGGAAAAGTGTTTTACAATTAGTGTGCCTTCTTTTTTGTTTTTTTTTTTTTCTTTTTGAGACGGAGTTTCACTCTTGTTGCCCAGGCTGGAGTGCAATGGCACAATCTCGGCTCACCGCAACCTCCGCCTCCCAGGTTCAAGCAATTCTCCTGCCTCAGTCTTCCAAGTAGCTGGGATTACAGACATGTACCACCATGCCCAGCTAATTTTGTATTTTTAATAGAGACAGGGTTTCTCCATGTTGGCCAGGCCGGTCTCGAACTCCCGACCTCAGGTGATCCGCCTGCTTCAGCCTCCCAAAGTGCTGGGATTACAGGCGTGAGCCACTGCGCCCGGCCTAGTCTGCCTTCTTCTATTTCAACTCTAGAAACATTTTAAAGCTTATGTAACGCTCCTGACTCAGTATTTGCTATAAGCAAAGTATTACTTTTTTTAATCCTTTTGCATTGTATGTAAATCCTTAATTTAAACATGATATATCAGGAAACAGATTTTTTAAAATCTATTATCAATTGATGTATTATTTCGTCCTTACAGTTGAAAAAAAAATTTAGTTAATTAAATCTTTCAGCTTATCAGCATTTTTCTAAAGTTACCTAAATAGTGTAATGACATTTCAATTACCAAGCATGTCTGTTCATCTCCATGTCCTAATCGCCCTCCAGGACCATGACCACAGGTATAAACCTGCCCTTTCTGAGACAGAAACACGGAGTGAAATTTACAAAGCACCACCTAAGGGAAAACAAGAGAATATTATTAAACTTCTCTGAATAAAATATCCTTTATTTTATGAAAAAGAAATAGAATATTGTTAATTGTTTAAACAGGATAATGGATACAAGGGGAATTTATAAGACTTTAATTTCCACATTTTAAGTTTCCTGTAATAAAAATAAAAGATACATATGCTTTGTTTTAAAATTATGTCTAAAAACATTGACACGAAAAAAAAGAACAAAGAAAGAATTAAGCATGTGTTACCCACAGAAGAGATTACCCAAAGGAAAATATAATTTTAAACCTTCAATTCCAAAAATTAGTAGCCAGTTGTTTTCCAGTTTCATGAAATATCAAACAGTAAGAAATGAGCAAAGTGCAACAGGAAGCATAAAGATTACCAAATAGTGATATATGGTACTAATAAAAATAATAGAAACATCTTCAGAGTGTTTTCAAAAAACAATAAAGCCATTTATACATGGCGTAGGGGGCAGTATGTCCTTTTCTTTATCTTTGGTTTTATCAACATGTCTTTAATATACATTTATAATTATTTTAATAAATAATTTTATATTTATTTTCAAGTTTTTCTCTCCTTTCCCACTTCCTTTTTCCTTATCTGCCTCAATCTCAGTACACTCCCTTGCCCCTGATACACAGACTTACTATTCACATACTACAGAAGACAAAGATACTGAAACAGTTGAACTGCCTCAGCAGAACACAATAACAGGAAACCATCAGCAGTTTCAAATATATATATATTTACATATCTAACCCTGGGCCACATTTTGCTATTTTCCAAGCTCTGATATTCATTATACTCACTTTACCTTAATAATATTTTTAAAATCTTCTCATTTTTAAAGATTGTTTGCATTTATATTTCTTACAACATCTGCAAATATTTCTAACTTAGGATATAAAAAGATGAGTAAGAAATAAAGAAACCCTAAAATCATTTCCAGAAAGTCAAGGTCCTTTGGAAAACAAAAAAATTATAAGCTAGACAAGCTCTAAATATTTACACATACCCTAGACCGCTCGGAATTTTGTAAGCACAATATAGCTATCAAATAAAAAAAGTAATGCAAAGATTATTATCTCATTTAGCTGTACCACAAATACCTAAAAAGTTTAAAAATAAAATCCAAATTTGTATTTTAAATTTACAAGTTGTCAGTGAAATTCATTTTATGAAATAAGAAAGAATACATTTCATTCAATTTTATATTAAATATTAGAATGCCATCCTACAACTGCTGACTTCTACTACTAAACAACAGTTGCAATACTAGACAGTTTTAAGTTATCCAACTTTAAAAACCCCAGACTTTTTTTTTTTTTTTGAGACGGAGTCTCGCTCTGTCACCCAGGCTGGAGTGCAGTGGCGCCATCTCGGTTCACTGCAAGCTCTGCCTCCCGGGTTCACGCTATTCTCCTGCCTCAGCCTCCCGAGTAGCTGGGACTACAGGTGCCCGCCACCACGCCTGGCTAATTTTTTATATTTTTGGTAGAGATGGGGTTTCACTGTGTTAGCCAGGATGGTCTCGATCTCCTGACCTCGTGATCTGCCCGCCTCAGCCTCCCAAAGTGCTGGGATTACAGGTATGAGCCACTGCGCCCAGCCTAAAACCCCTGAATTTTTAAATAAGAACTGAGCATGGATTTTCGCTTTTAATTATCTGGAATATATAATACTAACATTAATAATCTCTGTCTCATGGTAGTTAATTAATTTGGTACTGTATAATATAGAATCAGCCCCTTTTCAATAACAAATGGGGCTCTCTATATAACTGGTACTCAATTAATATTCCCATACTTGCTTTCTCTTCCCTGACTGAAATTTATACTGATTTCTTTCCTTCAAACCTACCCACTGTGCTTGCTTCACCCTCATTCTGTGGTAAATAAAATCCCTTAGATCCTTAATACCTTCACAAAACACGCCCACTGCCTTGCCTTACCTGAAATGTGGCTTTCTCTTTGAGTACACTAGTTCACTCACAACCCTGGCAAATGGAATATGCTCAAATATTCCAAACTATATATTTCTTTGGATCAGACATTTCAATCACCCTCTGATTTCCTAATGCCATCATGATTCCCTCACTCTTGTCTTTAAAATCCCTGCTCCGTAACAGCTCATGAAATAAAGGTATATCATGTACTACCTCAAAAAAGGAAAAACAGGTGTCTTTCTTGTGCCACAATTCCAATCAATCATTAGTGGCTGCTAATGGTTGGATTATCATTTTAAGGAGGAGTCTGAGGACCCACTCAAGCTCAGCATGAGAAAAAAAAAACTGACTAGCATGTCTGCAAAAAGCTCTAGACTAGGTGAGCAGCTTGTACACTTGCTGCCCCTGCTCTGATTTCTCACCATCTTGCTCACCCCTCTCACATTCACTAAAGACTTGGACACCAAGCTTGATTCTCGCCCATCACAAGTCCTTTCATTATCCTAAGTTCCCTCCACATCTACAGAGAAGACCCACAAGAATATTAGCTTTCATGACACCATTCTACTCCCTACTTCTCTAGCCACTTTTCATTCCTATATGGGTTTTTATTCCTGTTCTCTCAAAATTTAATATTCTCTAGAGTTTAAGGATTCTATTGCTTTTTTTGTTCAATTGCTGGTTGTGATGCATTAGGTTGTGACTTTTAGTTTAAAAAATAGTGTTCTATGGAGCCCTAAATATAGTGGTCATATTATTTATCATGCAAACATTTTTGAGAATGAAAGGGGATACTAACAATTACACTAGGAAAATAATCATAAACCAGAACTGTCCTGGGCAAACTAGGGATATGTTGTCAAAGTAGCTCTAAAAACTGTCTAAGAATTCAATCTCAGGATATAAACTAAGTGTTGTTATGTATGTCATATATAAATAATAGGTGAAAGTTGGAAAGAGCCAGTACTATAGTGATAAAAACACTCCAAGCTCATATTCTGGATCAAAGAAGTTTTATGAACTTCAAAATGCAGAAAGAATATAACTAGGAAGTTGTAGGAAATGTAAGTTGAAATGGTAATTTAGGAAGACTGAAAAAGTTCTTACATTCCAAGCCACAGAGTTTGGACTTTATCCAAAGGTGACTTAGTAGATAAACACATAATTAGCTCTTTTTTAAGACAAATAATTCTGGAGAAGAATATTATTGGGGTTGAAATGAATGGAGCCAAAAAGTCAAATTAGGACACTGTTGTCACTGTCCAAAAAAAGAGCTTGAAAAGGACATGGCACCTAGGTTCATGAGACAGAAAAGAACTAAATAGACATGCTCTGAGGTATCATCTTCAGGATTTAGAATTTGAGATTTATAACATTAAAAATTGAATAGGGTAGTTTAGGAGTGGCAAAAATAACACTTCAGACATTCTAAATTTAAATATCTTGAAAGAATACCCACAGTACAACTGAAATAAAGTTCAAGAGAAAGACTGGGGCTAGAGATACACATACATACACACATATACACAATGTAATACAGAAAGATTTGTCAACAGTAGCTGTATCTGGGGAAGTAGAAGATATCATGCATTGTAAGGATATAAGACCACAGACCAAATCTTTACAATTGTATCTATTAAAATTTTACAATTACTTACATTTAAGAACTCAGGTTCACAAAAAGCATCACTCGTGCCTAAGCATCTAAGGGCAAATTTTTGAACCCCACACTTCCAAAACATTGCTTATCTGTCTCCATAAGTGATGAAATTTTAGTTCTATCTACTATCCAAACTGAGAACTGAGACTTAGACATTTAATTATTTATTGCTTGTCAGTGTGAATACAAATAATTAAATAGAATGACTGGCAGTTTACCAGACCCTCAGTTAAAAAACTCTATAGCCTTTCCAGACTGCTGTCATCCAACTTCACATAAGATTAAACATATTCTCTTCATGATAAATAGCTTGGAACCTAAAAACATTATTTTGTTACAAAAAATTGCAAGAAGTGTGTTGTTTTCTAAATTGAAATTATTTTATTTTTTAATGCCACCAAAAAAAAAAGAACTGTTGTTCACTTATCAAAAATAACACTGAGCTTCAACAACAAATTCACTTGAGAAACAGCTTACAGAATTGTAATGTTTGTTAAATAGAAAAGCTAGAAAATCAAGAGAAGCTTTACCCTCTTAAATTAAACTACTATCTGTATAACATTTTCTAATTTCTAACACTAATTGCACAAATATCTTATATTTTAGGGTATTTTACAAAGTCTAAATATAATTAAGGCTAACAATATCTAAAATAAAATTAGCAAAGTTCTATTGATTGATTTCCTCATTAAAATGTTACTGTACCTGAAACAAAGTTATGTAATCCACATGAAAAGCTGAACAATCAAATACAAAAGTTCTTTCTCATCTCTAAAAGTATATAGATTGTACTTCAAAAATACCTGCTTGATATAAATCCCACTCCTGGAGAACAGATCCACCAACTCTGGATGATGTTTGCTATTCTGGCTTCCATGACCCAGGGTAAAATTTGTATTATCGCCCCAAGTATAAACATCTGTAGGATCTAAAATAAAAATTAGTTTTTATACTTTTTTATATTTTAAAACACATATAAGAACTAATTTAACTACAATATTTAGAAAGATGCCAACGCTCTTCTCTGAATGAATATATTAATATGATATTAGGTAATTCTAGAAATAGAAAATCCAAATCATAGTACAGGCCTGTCTCAATGCAAGCAATCAAACATTTGTTCCTTGCTTCTTTTTTTTTTGTTGTTGTTTTTTTTTAATAATTGAGACAAGGTCTCATTATGTTGCCCAGACTGGTCTTCACCTCACGGGCTCAAGTGATCCTCCCACCTCGGCCCCCCAAAGTGCTAGGATTACAGGCATAAGCCACTCTGCCCAGGCTGTTTCTTGTTTCTTTAGCAGCTAAAGTTTAACTGCCAAATGAGTAAAACACCACCGGCCATATCTACTTAGTTTCCATGAAAATAATATATAGAACTGTATCAAATGTAAGATATTATTAATCCACACATACAAAGGTTCTAAATGTTGCAAATGTGATATTACTCTTTGTACAGGAACACTAACTTTCAATACTTTGTTTTTCATAGACACAAAATCACACTAGTGATTAGGGTAAAGCCCATTAAACTGGAATACAAATCACAGCTAAGTTCATGATATAAATCTTCATTTTTATTTTAGAAGATGAATAAAGTCTTAGAATGGAATTATCACTGTTAACCTGCAATGCAGTATCCAGGGTAGAAATAGAAATACAGAATGTGTCCTTACTCAGCTTGCTTACTAGTTAAATGCAAACTATACAGTGCCCCAATTAAATCTTTTCTTTTCTGCCAATTCCCACTTCCAAATCTCAAAGAGCAAACAAACTGGAGGGATAAGTGAAACTGAGAATGTGTGAATAAAAAAATAATTGGAGCCGGGCACAGTGGCTCACGCCTGTAATCCCAGCACTTTGAGAGGCCGAGGAGGGAGGATCACTGGAGTTCAGGAGTTCCAGATTACCCTGGTCAACGTGGCAAAACCTCACCTCTATAAAAAAAGTATAAAAATTGGCCGCACGCAGTGGTTCATGCCTGTAATCCCAGCACTTTGGGAGACCGAGGCAGACGGATCACCTGAGGTCAGGAGTTCGAGACCAACCTGACCAACATGAAGAAACTGCATCTCTACTAAAAATACAAAATTAGCTGGTCATGGTGGCTCATGCCTGTAATCCCAGCTACTCAGGAGGCTGAGAGAAGAGAGCCTCTCAGCTTGAACCCGGGAGGCGGAGGTTGCGGTGAGCCAAGATCGCGCCATTGCACGCCAGCCTGGGCAACAAGAGCGAAACTGTCTCAAAAAAAAAAAAAAAAAAAAAATTAATTGGGCATGGTGGCATGGGTCTATATTCCCAGCTACTTGGAGGGCTGAAGTGAGAGGATGGCTTAAGCTCAGAAGGTTGAAGCTGCAATGAGCCGTGTTCTTGCCACTGCACTCCAGCCTGACTGACAAAGCGAGACCCTATCTCAACAACAACCACAAAAATAATGATAATTTCCAGAGACCCTATCTCAAAAATAACAAAAGGAATAAAAATTTACATTCCTTTTTCCTTCTACCTCAATGCTGATGTTACTTTCTGAGTATATATCAATTACTTTACAGTAGTTACAATTATAACAGTCCTCCCATTTTAGATTGTACTTTTATATAGACATAAATATGGATTGAAATTTTAAAATGCAAAATAAAATTGTTCTGAATATGAAACAAAAAATATCCAACATATACCAAAGTAAAATTTCTTTGCAGATAGCCACACACAAATAAATTTCCCCACTACTTTAAGAAGAATAAAATTTCATTAAAATTTTCTAAGCTAAGCTGCACCTTAATGGAATACATTTGTAAAGTTTTTTTTTTTTTTTTTTTTGAGACGAAGTCTAGCTCTATCACCCAGGCTGGAGTGCAGTGGCAAGATCTCAACTCACTGCAACCTCCACCTCCCAGGTTCAAGCAATACTCCTGCCTCAGCCTCTAAGATTGCCTAGAGGAGCTAGGATTGCCTGTAACTAGGATTGCCTGCTACCATGCCCGGCTAACTTTTGTATTTTTAGTAGAGACGGGGTTGTACCATGTTGGTCAGGCTCGAACTCCTGACCTCAAGTGATCCGCCTGCCTCGGTCTACCAAACTGCTGGGATTACAGGTGTGAGCCGCAGCGCCCAGCCCATTTGTGAAATTTTCTTACCAGTATTCTCGAACTCCTGACCTGAAGTGATCCGCCTGCCTCAGCCTACCAAATTGCTGGGATTACAGGTGTGAGCCGCAGCGCCCAGCCCATTTGTGAAATTTTCTTACCAGTATTCTTGAATACTACATGAGTTGGTCTATCCTTCATTACAAGATCCAAAGCTGACAAGCCTTCTTTATCTTGAATATACAGACTAACACCATGCTAAAACAAACAAACAAACAAATACATAAATATATATATATTATTAATTACCTATATCATCAGTAACTTCCTATTTTATTATTATTTTTTTTTTTTTGAGACAGAATTTCGCTCTTGTTGCCCAGGCTGGAGTGATGCAATGGCGCAATCTTGGCTCACCGCAACCTCCACCTCCCAGGTTCAAGCAATTCTCTTGCCTCAGCCTCCCAAGTAGCTGGGATTACAGGCATCCACCACCACGCCCGGCTAATTTTCTATTTTTAGTAGAGACAGGGTTTCTCCATGTTGGTCAGGATGGTCTCGACCTCTGACCTCAGGTGATCCACCTGCTTTGGCCTCCCAAAGTGCTGGGATTACAGGCTGAGCCACCACACCTGGCCGACTTCCTATTCTTATGTATCAAAAAGTCAGATAATCAACCCCATAAATACACTGAAAAAAAATTTAATAATGATTATCTCTCATATTCACACACATTTTTCTCTCACATACTGCAGAGAATAATTAAGAAAAATCACATATCCGACTCTTGCTGGAATAAGGAAGAATCAGAAAATGTGAAGAAATAAAAAATTAACATTTTAAATAAAAATTAACTACATGTGAACTTTTTTTTGCAGGGGGGACGGAATCTCGCCTTTGTCGCCCAGGCTGGAGTGCAAAGGCACGATCTCAGTTCACAGTAACCTCCGCCTCCCAGGTTCAAACAATTCTCCTGACTCAGCCTCCCGAGTAGCTGGGATTACAGGTGCCCACCACCATACCCGGCTAATTTTTGTATTTTTAGTAGAGATGGGGTTTCACCATGTTGGCCAGGCTGGCCTCGGACTCCTGACCTCGTGATCAGCCCGCCTCAGCCTCCCAAAGTGCTGGGATTACAGGTGTGAGCCACCGTTCCCGGCCATGTGAACATTTTTAACAATAAAGCATTTCTGATACCCCTTTAATACCCCATAAATACACTGTCCCTACAAGTCCCTAGCTCTGGGTTTGTGTCTGTGTGGGAGTGCATCTGAACATAAACATTTAACTCTTCTTGCATTTGAGGAGCCACACTCTGCCGGGCGCAGTGGCTCATGACTATAATCCCAGCACTTTGGGAGGTGGGTGGATGAATCGCCTGAGGTCAGGAGTTCAACGTCAGCCTGGCCAACATGCTGAAACCCCATCTGTAGTAAAAATACAAAAATTAGTCAGGTGTGGTGGTGCATGCCTATAATCCCAGCTACCTGGGAGGCTGAGGCAGAAGAATCACTTGAACCCGGGACACAGAGGTTGCAGTGAACCGAGATCGCGCCACTGCACTCCAGCCTGGGCAACAAGAGTGAAACTCCGTCTCAAAAAAACAAAAAAAAATTATCTGGAGAAGGAGAGACATAAAATTTCAAATCAGTTTATTTAGTTTATACTTACTCTATTTTAGTTTGAGGAATTTTTTCTTATTTATAATTTGACAGTTAATTGTTGATGACCTGTTTATTCTGCGAGGTATCTGATATCCCTTCAATATATTTTGTTTATGTTACCATAGTTGGTTCCAGTTGCAGGCAAAAATAACTCTAATACATCAATATTTATCAAGCATGTTCCTATTTGTTCATTAATTTTTGTTGTTATTGTTTTTTTTGGTTTTTTTGAGACGGAGTCTTGCTCTGTCACCCAGGCTGGAGTGCAATGGCGTGACCTCGGCTCACTGCAACCTCCATCTCCTGGGTTCAAGCGATTCTCCTGCCGCAGCCTCCCCCGTAGCTGGGATTACAGGCATGTGCCACCACGCCCAGCTACTTTTTGTATTTTTAGTAGAGATGAGGTTTTGCCATGTTGCCCAGGCTGGTTTCGAACTCCTGACCTCAGGTGATCTGCCCGCCTTGGCCTCCCAAAGTGCTGGAATTACAGTTGTGAGCCACCATGCCCGGCCATTGTTCATTAATTTAATTGCTTGGTTTTGGTTTTGGTCTATCTCCCCCTAGTAGAATAAAAACTTAAACAAAGAAGGGATTCTGTCTTGTTCACTGCAATATCCCTAGCACCTGGATTACTGCCTGGCACATATCAGGCACTCAAAAAATATTTGTTCCAAATACCTCACAGACAGTATATTATTTAATCCATATAACCTATGATTCTGTGAAGTCTTCTGTTTACAAATGGGAAAAATTAAAGCAAGTTCTTCCAGAATAGTAAGTAAACCACCAGTATAAAAGAGCAATGGTTTAGCAACAACAGATACAGCAGGACTCCACAAGCATAAACAGTCTTTACCAGCCATGCATCCTGTCATGGAATCAAGAAGCCCCAAAAGAGCTACATAAGATAATCTGTCTCTATTCCAGCTTTTTGTAGGCAACAAGTTTCTGCTAAGGTTTTATATCTTTGGCATTAAGAAACTGACAATTTACTGTGCAATTTACAAATGTTATAGCTATGAAGTTTTATCAAATTTAAATTCATTAAAATGTGTGTGGTTTCTTCCTGATAATCCATAATACCTGAAGTGCTACAGCTGACATCAGAGACGGAACTGACATGAAGACACCTATCACTGCACCCCTTCCAATTAAAGAAGTGTTGGAAGGTCAAAGTAAAAAAATATGCTGAACAAAAGCAGACAGCCTACCAACATGAGAATGCTGAATGGTTAATACAGGATTTAGGGGAAAACCGTCAGTGGAATACATCCACTGTTATGTATCTATCACTGATCAGCAGGGCTCTGATGCCAATAAGACAGTCAAGCTAAGGGCAAGGTGACAACGGCACAATTTCCTGGCTTCTATTAGCCAAGGTGGCTAGAGTGACTGAGGATTTCGATGGGGCAATAAAATCTCACAGGAAGGAAAGGACCAAAATTCAGTCCAGACCATAACTATTTCAAACTGTAGCCCTAAATGCTAACACCTAAATGGCAACCCCTAGGATGGCAGGAAACCCAAACCCAGGGACCTTCTCAAACTCAGCAGGGTTGGCAGTCATCCAACTTTCCAGCAGAAACTGAAAAAAAAAAAGCCAAGGTTTTACAGATGGAAAAGGGTAAGAATGGAGCTGAGAGATGCTTTAACTCTTACTAACCTAGCTTTCCCTATAATGACAATAAGGGAATTAAACAGATACCCCAAGGTTTCAGATATAAGAGGAATCTTCTCTACCATTAACAAACTTAAAAATGCTTTACTTCATGGATAGTCCCTGGGGGGGAAAAAAAAAGGAAAGTGCTATTATTACTCTCTTTTTATAGATAAAACTGAAGTTCAAGATTTAATAATTTGTCCACGATGATTCACTAAGTAGTAGTAGTAGCAGCAGCAGCAGCAGCAGCAGCAGTAGTAGTAGTAGTAGTGGTGGTGGTAGTAGTACTAGAAGATAGTAGTAGTAGTAGCAGTAGTAGTAGTAGTAGAAGATAGTAGTGGTAGTAGTAGTAGTAGTAGTAGTAGTAGTAGTAGCAGTAATAGTAGAAGATCAGTAGGGAGTTTAACTCCACAAAAGAATATTTTACTATTACTATATAATAAAAATTATTCTTATCAGTAAATGTTACTACATAAAAGCCACTACAGAAATATTTTTTAAGTCAAAATTAAATGAAGACACTGAAGGTAAGCTTCTGAATTTGACCAGAAGTTCCTTAAGGACCAGAACTGTTTTTTTCTTTTCCAGGTCCTCCACAAACATGACAAAATCCCTATACAAAAAAAATTGTTAAATTTAAGGCCAGACATGGTGGCTCACACCTGTAATCCCTGCACTTTGGGAGGCTGAGGCAGGTGGATCACTTGAGATCAGGAGTTCAAGACCAGCCTGGCCAACATGGGGAAACCCCGTCTCTACTAAAAATACAAAAATAAGCCGGGCACGGTGGCACATGCCTGTAATCTCAGGTATCGGGAAGGCTGGGGCAGGAGAATCACTTGAACCTGGGAGGTGGAGGTTGCAGTGAGCGGAGATCACACCACTGCACTCCAGCCTGGGTAACAAAGCAAGACTCCGTCGCAAAAAAAAATAATAATAAAAATAAAATAAAATAAAATTGTTAAATTTAAAACTCATGACTTCTGACAGTGAGTTTCTAATTTGCATTCATTAGTGAAATGACATTGGGGTGTATTTCAAAACGCTTTATTATTTGCCTATTCAATACAACACACCTAATCTACTAGAAAGAAAATTTTATATAAATTAAACAATTTTAATGATTTTTTTTTTGAGATGGAGTCGTCCTCGGTTGCCCAGGCTGAAGTACAATGGTGCGATCTCAGCTTACAGCAACCGCCGCCTCCTGGGTTCAAGTGATTCTCCTGCCTCAGCCTCCCAAGTAGCTAGGATTACAGGCATGTGCCACCACACCCAGCTAATAATTTTTGTATTTTTAGAAGAGACAGGGCTTCACCATGTTGGCCAGGCTAGTCTTGAACTCCTGATCTCAGGTGATCCACCTGCCTTTGCCTCCAAGAGTGCTGAGATTACAGGCGTGAGCCACCGCGCCTGGCCATCAATTTCTTTTTTTGAGACAGAGTCTCACTCTGTCGCCTAGGCTGGAGTGCAGTGACACGATCTTGGCAAACTGCAACCTCTGCCTCCTGGGCTTAGCTGATTCTAATGCCTCAGTCTCCCAAGTAGCTAAGACTACAAGCACACGCCACTACACCTGGCTAATTTTTGTATTTTTAGTAGAGATGGCGTTTTACTATGTTGGCCAGGCTTGTCTCGAACTCATAACCTCAAGTGATCGGCCCACCTCGGCCTCCAAAGTGCTAGGATTACAGCATGAGCCACCACACCTGGCCTCATCAGTTTCTTTAGAGCTTATAAACACCGTATGTTAACTAAACAAGAAATGAAACATACTACTCAAAAACACAATTCCTAAATAATGTTCAACAACTACTGCCCTTTTAAAGTTAATAATAGGCTGGGCATGGTGGCTCATGCCTGTAATCCCAGCACTTTGGGAGGCCGAGGTGGGTGGATCACGAGGTCAGGAGATCGAGACCATCCTGGCTAACACGGTGAAACCCCATCTCTACTAAAAAAATACAAAAAATTAGCCAGGCGTGGTGGTGGGTGCCTGTAGTCCCAGCTACTTGGGAGGCTGGGGCAGGAGAATGGTGTGAACCCGGGAGGCGGAGCTTGCCATGATCCGAGATCAGGGGCCACAGCACTCCAGCCTCGGCGACAGAGCGAAACTCCATCTCAAAAACATAAATAAATAAAATAAAGTTAATAATATAGTTATTTAAGAATAAATCATTTTAAAATACTAAAAGATATTGTTACAAAAATACTAATTGAGATGCCATTAGACTGGGGCAACTCTAGCACTTTAAGTTTATCCATAAGTAAACACACAGCCAGTAAACAGTAAAATGAAACTAGAGTCTTTACCAATCAGAAACCACCAACTAACCTCTAACTAGGGTCTTTCCACTCTAACCAATTAAATATATTTTCTTTGTCTTTATTCTGCATCGGCCTATAAAAGCTCACTGCTCAGGCTGCAGCACAGCTCTCTGAGCCTCTTCTGGTTCTGAATGCTGCCCGATTCATAAATCATTCTTTGTGCAAATAAATTGTGCTTACTTAATGTAAAGTATTTCTTTTAATAATGTATAATACTCATTAAATGATGTATGGGATTTAGTTCAAAATATTATGAGATGTACAAATAACACAAAATTGGCCAACAGTTCATTATATATAGTAAGCATGATAAATGTTTAAAATTTTACATCACAAAAAAGTTAAGTAAAAGGATATATGGAGTTTTAATTCCAAAGATCAGTTACAGTAGTAAGAGATAGCAAACAAGCAAGAAAAAATGCAAATATTTTCCAAAAAGCATGTAGGATGTATGAAAATGATTAAGAAAAACATATTCCAGACTAAATACGTTTAAAATAAACAAATGACAATTACCTTCAATAGAGACCAAACACAATCAATATGTCCATAAAAAATGCTTCTGTGCAATGCTGTCCATCCAGACTCTTTGTCTTTCACCAACAGATCCACTCCTTTCTGAATAAGCCAATCTAACACTCCTTTCTTTCCACAGGAGGAAACAAGGTGGAGGGCATTCCTGCCAAAAACATCCTTGATAGTTGCAGCATTGTAACAATGACTGGAGAGAAAGGCCTTAATCTGGTTTTCGCTCCCCTTTGTTACCACAGAAAGGACATCCAAAGCATGCTTCAGGGATCGACACTTTGATGTGCAGTCAGGCATGGGTGAACTCATCCTAACTGTTTTTATACCACTTACTTCAGAATCGTGAAAACTAATTTTAAAAAATGAAAAAGCCAGGACACAAAGGTGCTATTGAGGAAGTTACAGAGAATAAATTACCTTTTTAGGATAATTTAAATCCTCCTGACAATAGTATAAAACTATATATCTTTATACAATTTTTTGGCACTTAAATCAAAAAAATTATAAATAGCTCTATAAAGTTCATATCAAATACAAGTTCTTCATTTAAAAAAATTCCACAGTTTATAAATTATTCCTGGAGTCAAGCACCAAGGGGGAGTGAGGAGGGGAACTCCCCCTCCACACTGTCTGACCCTTTTAAATATCCATAATTGCAAGGGTGACCTATAAGAGAAAGAGAAGAGAAAATAAAAATTCAAAATCTGTCTCTCGCTCTCCTTGAGTACTTTAGAACACAACTACCTCCATATTTAGATGCCCTTAACCCATTTATGCTTAGTGTTCCATTACTGGAACACTAAGCTTACGGGAGTTATTTATATCCTAATGCTCAAGGTCATCGCCAAGATCTGATTTTTCACAAAAAACATTTGCAACCTCTGGCATAAACGGGTTAATTCCTTTTTTTTCTTAAATCTATCGACCTTTCATATTTATGGTACCTATATTTTTATCAGTCATCCTTACTCCATTTTTCCACTCTCATGTTTAAAGTTAACCCACATTGGTTGTACTCTGGAGTTTCTCTTTCTTTCCAGTCCTTCATTCCTTCTATGCTGTATTTTTACACTCTACTAGTTATGTCCCCACAAGCTATGAATACGCTTAAATCTACCATCTTTCTAAGAATCCCATCCCAAACCTATACCCCCTAAAACTGTATCATCACCACCAACACAACAATAACCAACACTCTCATCAGTTACTCCGTTTTTACTAAGTACCCAGGCACTGTGTTAATATTGTTACCTCTGCCTGAAAAGTCCTTCATCACATGAAGAGATGATAATTAAACAAAGGTATTAAAACAACTGGATAGCTATCTTTAAAAAACAACTTTAGATACGGTACTTACTTTATATCTTATACCAATATAAATTCTAGATGGTTCAAAGGCAAACAAAAAAACGAAACTACAAAAGCACTGGATGAAAATACAAAAGACTCTTTTTTTATAATCACAAAGTACAAAACACCTTTCTAAGCAGGATCTGAAATCCGAAAGTCATAAAAGATTAATTCAATAGTTTAAAAATTACATTAAAAAGTTTAAAGACAAAAGGAGAAAAATTTGCCTCAATATATATGGTCTTTTAGATCTTCCTTAATGTGTAGTCTTTGGGAGCAGAGAAAATTGGCTATAAGAAGACTATTTAGAAGGACATACTTGAGTTTACTATATGTATAGGGAAAGCTTCTATGCATCAGAGGGAAGTATGAAATATTCTAAATCTGTATTTTTCCACTCCCACTTCATACCACACCAAAGAGTCAGAAATCTGAGATCTAACTAGTTTTCTGATCTTAACTACTTTGATTTCTCCACCTGGAAACTAGATGATTATAATCTTCTCTATTAGGTTGGTACAAAAGTAGTTGCAGATTTTGCTAGTAAAAGTAATGGCAATGGCCAGGCGCAGTGGCTCATGCCTGTAATCCCAGCACTTTGGGAGGCCGAGGCGGGCAGATCACCTGAGGTTGGGAGTTTGAGACCAGCCTGACCAACCTGGAGAAACCCTATCTCTATTAAAAATACAAAATTAGCCAGGCGTGGTGGCACATGCCTGTAATCTCAGCTACTCGAGAGGCTGAGGCAGGAGAATCGCTTGAACCCAGGAGGCAGAGTTTGTGGTGAACCAAGATCACACCATTGCACTCCAGCCTGGGCAACAAGAGCAAAACTCTGTATCAAAAAAAAAAAAAAATTAATGGCAATTACTTTTAAGAATCCAATCCCAAACCTATACCCCCTAAAACTATATCACCACCACCAACACAACAACCAACCCTCTAAAAGTAATGGCGATTATTTTTAATGGCAAAACCTACAATTACTTTTGTACCAACTTAATAGCTCCAGATCTGTTCTACTAATACATTCTGTAATTTGATATAGTCCTCATAAAAATCATCTCCCCCTTAAAACACTGATTTGAACAACAGCAACAAAAAGAACAAGATAAAACAAATAAAAATGTGTTTGGGGGCCGAGCACGGTGGCTCACGTCTGTAATCCCAGCACTTTGGGAGGCCGGGGTGGGCGGACCATGAGGTCAAAAGATCAAGACAATCCTGGCCAAGATGGTGAAACCCCATCTCTACTAAAAATACAAAAATTAGCTGGCCACACTCCTGTAATCCCAGCTACTTGGGAGGCTGAGGCAGGAGAAATGCTTGAACCCAGGAGGTGGAGGCTGCAGTGAGCCGAGATCCCGCCACCGCACTCCAGTCTGGTGACAAAGCAAGACTCTGTCTCAAAAACAAAACAAAACAAAACAAAAGACGGGCACGGTGGCTCATGCCTGTAAACCCAGCACTTTGGGAGGCCAAGGCAGGCGAATCACGAGGTCAGGAGATCAAGACCATCCTGGCTAACACGGTGAAACCTCGTCTCTACTAAAAATACAAAAAATTAGCCGGGTGTGGTGGCGGGCGCCTGTAGTCCCAGCTACTTGGGAGGCTGAGGCAGGAGAATGGCGTGAACCTGGGAGGCGGAGCTTGCAGTGAGCCGAGATCGTGCCACTGCACTCCAGCCTGGGCGACAGAGAGACTCTGTCTCAAAAAAAAAAAAAAAAAGTGTTTGGTAGCAAAGAGAAAAAAAGGTACCAATCGTCAAGTACTTTAAAAGGTTAAAAATGGAAAGCATGACACAGTAGTTCCCCATTATCCATTTGCTTTCTATGGTTTCTATTACCCACAATCAACCATAGTCCAAAAATATTAAATGAAAATTTTGGAAATAAACAATTTATGTTTTAAATTGCATACTATTCTGAGCAGTATGATGAAATCTCATAGTGTCCCACTCCAAACCACTCCACCTCACCTGAGACATGAATCATACATTTGTCCAGCATTGCCATACTGTACATGCTACCAACTCGATAGTCACTGAGTAGCCCTCTTGGTTAGCAAATTGTAAAAACATAGCATATATAGGGTTCAGTACTCTCTGCAGTTTCAGGCATCCACTGGGGGTTTTAGAATGTGTCCTTGGATAAGTAGGGACTATTTATTGTATGTGGCAAAATAGTTCATCCAGTTAATTTCATTCTTTTAAAGCTCTAAAATCCCACCATGTTTGTATTTTCATTGTATGCATAATACCTGGAAGGAACTACTTACTGGTGAATCACTCAAACCTTACATTAAAGAATTAAGATACAACAGAAAAGAATTCCCTAATTCATTAGTATATATAATGTAAACATTTAAAGGGGGGAAAAAAGAATGTTAAAAAGTCATTCCATACTATCATATAGAGAAAGCGGCACCTACAGAATACTATGAACATAAACATGGAAGCGATTAAGAGCTAGGATTTCTTAGAGTTTTACATACATAGATTCAAATATAGCAATGTCAGCTGTTATCAGTTATATAACTAAAAAATGACATAATCTCTCCAAGTCGTTTCTTCATCTGAAAATAGAAACAATCCATGGACTTCACATGGTTACTATAATGATAAATGAAACTACCTAACATGGTACCTGGCACTAAATATGCATTCGACAAATAATAGTTTTCATTACTATTGTTTCTTCAGTCATAAAAAGGTAATACATTTTAACTCCAAAATTCATGTTTGAGCTTCATTATCACTTGTTACCACTTCTCCAAAGAAATCATTATTGCTAAAGTTACTAATGACTTCCAAATTACCAAACACTTTTAGATATTTTCAATTCTTACTTGCCTTCCCTGCTTTTATGTCTTTAAAACCTCATTCCCTTAAGGAGTCTAAAAGAGATCCAGGAAGGGCAGGAAGTCGCAGAAACATTTAAGCATGGGCTCTCTCTCTTAACCACTTCTTCCTAGGGCATTATCGCTTCCCCTGTCCTTCAAACTGGGCTTCTCTGAAATAATCCTCAGTCCTCTACTTCATATTGTTCCTGATAGTTTCAATCCTTTTCATGCTTTTAACTCTACCGTACACATGATTATAAATCCCCAAATCTGTCTCTTGCTCACATATTTGCCCTAAACTCCAGGCCCATATTTCCAATGCCTATTGTACTTCTTATCTATGCATTCAAAAACTGCTTAAAGAAGGGGAAGAAAGCAAAGGAAATAAGCATTTAAAGACCTAATACATACGGAATGCTTTACATCAGACCAGTCAAGTAAACCACCTAAATCATACCACCAAGAAAAGAGGGAGTCAGACTTCAAATACAGATCTGTTTAATGATGAGGTCCGTGCTATTTCTGCTACGTTACACTGTCTTCTTCAGCGCATCCATAGTAGGTCACAAGGCATTGGGAATACAAAAATAATTAGGACCTAAATATTTTAGATAAAATAAAATACAGGTTCATGGATAATACTCAGGTGGATGCATAGCTAGTTTAACATATGTACTAACTGAACAAAACTTATGATCTATTACACAGTTCCTATTATCAAAGGGTCACAGTTTGGTAGAAGAGAGTAATTTTATTTAGGCAAGTAACTAAAACATATCATAATTATAAACCTATGGTCAAGATAAAACAAGTGACACATAGGAACGGGGAGTGCAGAAGAGGGGTCCAGGTAAGACTTTCTACAGGAGATAAACTATGTATAAACTAAGACTTAAAAGATGAGTACTGGCCAGGCACAGTGGCTCATGCCTGTAGTCCCAACACTTTGTTAGGCTGAGGCAGGCAAATCACTTGAGCCCAGGACTTTGAAATCAGCCTGGGCAACATGGTGAAAGCCATCGCTACAAAAAAAAATACAAAAATTAGGCGTAGTGGCACATCCCTGTAGTCCCAACTACTCTGGAGGCTGAGGTGGGAGGATCACTTAAAACTGGTCAGTCAAGGCTGCAGAGAGCCAAGATCATGCAACTGCACTCCAGCCTGAGCGACTGAGCGAGACTCCTTCTAAAAAAAAAAAGAGTACCATATGTGTTGGCCTGATAAATTCTGGGTGAGAGCACATTTGAAGCAGAAGGGATAGTAAATATAAAAGAACTAGAATCATCTTGGTCCATTCCAAAATTTCTAAATAATTCAGAAGACAGAAAGAAGTGAGGCCTAACATACACACAAGGATAGACAGGATTTTGAACAGCCTTATGTGCCTTTTCTTAGAGATTTAAAAAAAAAAGGGCAGGCAATCCAAAGACATACTTAGGATCTTGAATTGACAAGATGTGGTGGTAATTCCCAGGTTTCTGGCTTGGAGAACAGATAGGGAAACTAGAAAGAAGAGTAAGGGGTCAATACTTTGGAAGTGAGTAAAGCAAAACAAAATTAAACAACGGAAAAAACACACAAAAATTATAGGTGAAATTTTGTTTTATACATTATACACAGTGCTCTACATAAATATAATCCTTATTATTGCCCCTGTAAATATGATCACTTTCATTTTCTGATGAGGAGATTCATGTGAAAGTTTAAAAAGCCTACCTAAAATAATACCGACAGAAAAGTGCTCTTGATCCCACCTATTCTATGCTACCAAACTGCTCTCCCAAAAGGCAGTTAGAAAAATTTCAATGCAAGTAGTATAGTGTAGTAGAAAAAAGTACCATGGAATTCAATTCAAAATAATTGAATTCAAAAGCAGTTTGGTAGGGCAGCTGGAGACTCAAGCGATTCTGCCTCAGCCTCCCGAGTAGCTGGGATTACAGGCACACATCACCATGCCTGGCTGATTTTTTTGTATTTTTGGTAGAGACGGGGTTTCACCAAGTTGGCCTCGAACTCCTGACCTCAAGTGATCCGCCCACCTTGGCCTCCCAGACTGCTGGGATTACAGGCATCTTTTTTTTTTTTTTTTTTTTTGAGATGGTGCCACACTCAGTCGCCCAGGATGGAGTGCAGCGGCGCGATCTCGGCTCACTGCAACCTCCACCTCCCGGGTTCAAGCAATTCTCAGCCTCCCCAGTAGCTGGGATTACAGGCGTGAGCCACCGCGCCCGGCCTAAAAAATTTCTTGAAGTAAACTCTGGTTTGACTAAAGCTTCTGCAAATATTTGCAAATGTAATTATTTTTAGAAACCAGTTTTGTCCTCATCTACCTTGCCTCAATTTCTAAAACAAATAAAAGTTAAGGAATTCAAAATACAAAAAGAGAAATGATCAAGAGGGGGCTGGCAAGCCTGTGAATTTACACCACTTTATGGGCACTGAAACACTACTACTCATAAAAGTCATATCCTTTCAGTATTTCTGATAAATTTCAAATGGCCTACTTCGAGGCATAAGTTAAAAGGTGCTACATGAATCTCTGGCTAACACAGTCAAGTTTTATGAACTACGTTGGAAAACAGGAGTCAAGGACGGCCTATGTTACCTAATTCGCAGCTGAACTAAAACTCTTTGAGCCAGACAGCTCTGCCTGTTACAAAAACAAAGGGCCTGTCTTCTCTGTCTCTCTCAACCCTCCACCCTCCAAAAAGAATCAGTTCCTTTTTACATAGCAATCAATGTCCACTTATCAGATTTCACGACCTGCTTCCCCAGAGTCAGTATCCCCAGGGTGGACTCAAACTTGTGACTCCAGGAAGGGGATAAGGAACATGAGCGCCCACAGGAATGGCTTCAAATCCAAGACTCGAAGGAAAGTGACACTACATAACTATCACAACTAGGAATGCAATGTCGCTGGAGGGCGTGTCCAGCAGGACGGGAGCGTAGCGCATCGCCGGGACAGGCCATTCATTAGCTGAGGGGGGCGGTAGGGACCCTGGCCACTCGGCCCTCTCCGCGCCGCCTCGCGCGAAGCCCGGCAGCCTCGGGGCCACAGAGTCCCCTCCCCACGGTCCCCCCGCGCCGCCGTCCGCAGCCACCCGCACCCTCCAGAAGGCGAATACTCTCCCCCTGCCCCCGGGCTGAAGGGAAGCCGCACCGCACGGTCGGGCAGCGCCAAGCCCTCCCTCACCAGTCGCTAGATGAAACTGCGCCGGTGGATTCCGCAGGGTCCACATAGAGCCACAAAGGGACTCATCCTCAGTGAAGGCAATAAGAGAAACCGAACGGCGCCAGAGGGGCCAGTCCCCAGACCCGGGTCAGTTCGGCAGGCGGCTGCAATACAGCCGCTACTACAGGAATCGGGAACGGGGATGTAGAGGAAGGGCCCGAGCGGGCGGTTCCCAGTAATAAGGCGGGCGCTGGTTGGCTGGGGCTCCTGTATGTCTCTTGATGATTGGCTGGTGCCTGCCCAGAAGGTTTCGCGTGGCAGCACCTCTGCCATGGCCTTTTCCCTGGCGCCCCAAAGGAACTTGACCTCGCCGGCCTTGGGGCCGCTGACTCAGGCCAGGGGCGGGGAAAAGAAAAAGGCCGCAGCGGGGAACTCTAGGCCAACAACGGTGATGGGAGTGTCCCTTTCAGGCCAGCCATCTCGTAGTTAGAAACGTCTCTCTAGGTAGCTGGAGACTCGCGGGGGAGGCTAAACCCGAGTGGAGAAGGAGACCTGGCAGGATGCCTTGGACACCCGGTCGCTACGCAGCAGAAGCCAAGTGCATAGGCGTCCTGCACAGAAGAGTTTCCTCCCATGGCCTTAGCAGTGGGGTTACTGCAAAGCCAAAGGTGTAGTCTCCGTAAACCCAGCCTCACCCCTCTCTGGATCTCCATACACCCGGATTATCTGGCAGTCACTCCCTTGGTCAGAAGGCGTCACTGCCCTCTTAGATCACCACCGTAGGACTAGCTGCCGACCCGGGTCACGCCACTCACTGCCTGACACCAGGCTTACACTAGGCTTTTTCCACTTGAACTCTGAATCTAAAGGCCATTTAGAAAGTGGTCAAGTGAAAAATGCTAGGAGGGACAGTAGCCAATAATCAATACTAGGTTACTGAATGGGAAACACACTGCTGCTGAATGCCTAATACGGTAAGCACTCAGTAAATGATTGTTCAAGGAGGTGTAGTGTGACTCAAAACAAACGACACTAAGAATCATGAGTTGGCTGTACAGCTCTGCCACGTTGAGTTTTACAAGCCACTGAGTCGACCTCATCTAATCTCTAAAAGAAAGGAGTTGCGCATGTCTTAATGCCCACTGAGCTCTGCTTGCTCTCTTTTGAAGCCTTTTTTGTGGGAGGGTAGGTTACTAGCCCAAAGCCACACAGCTGCTTAGCGAAAGAGAAAGGGAGACTAGGACCCAGCCCTCCTACTGCCCTTCCCAGCACATAATTGTTTCTTTGCTCTTTATTCTTAATGTCCTTCTACAAAACAAAAACCAGTTTGTAATGTCAAAATTGAGTGGTTTTGAAAATAAGCTTAAGTTGGCCGGGCGCGGTGGCTCACGCCTGTAATCCCAGCAATGTGGGAGGCCGAGGCGGGCGGATCACGAGGTCAGGAGATCGAGACCATCCTGGCTAACACGGTAAAACCCCACCTCTACTAAAAAAATACAAAAAATTAGCTGGGCGTGGTGGCAAGTGCCTGTAGTCCCAGCTGCTGGGGAGGCTGAGGCAGGAGAATGGCGTGAACCCGGGAGGCGGAGCTTGAAGTGAGCCCAGATCGAGCCACTGCACTCCAGCCTGGGTGACAGTGAGACTCCGTCTCAAAAAAAAAAAAAAAAAAGAAAGAAAATAAGCTTAAGTTGTATCTCCAGATATTTAAAAAAAGAAGCTACATATAATGACTTTCATATTCATGAACAAAGAAGCCAATAATGGCAAATAAAGCTGCTAGTGTAAATAAATGCATTGACCTGAGTTCGTAACTTCTCTCTCTTGTATCTGGGCAAGTTAATTCACTTTTCTGAAGCCTCAGTTTCCTCATTTGCAAAATGGGAGAAATAATGTATTTTGGGGTTGTGAAAATGTAATGATAGAGATATATAGCACTTAGCAGAGAGCCTTAGTCACACACAATAATACTTCATAAATAGTGCTAATGAATAAAGTATTTCCTTAGTGGCTGAATTAGTCCAAGCAGGCATTCATTAATTTAAAAGTTACGGCCAGGCAAGGTGAGTCACACCTGTAATACCAGCACTTTGGGAGGCAGAGGCAGGTGGATCATTTGAGCCCAGGATTTCAAGACCAGCCTGGACAACATGGTGAAACCCCGCCTTTACTAAAAATTAAAAAAAAAATTAGGCATGGTGGCGCACGCCTGTGATTCCAGCTACTCAGGAAGCTGAAGTGGGAGAATACCCTGAGCCCTAGGAGATCAAGGCTGCAGTGAGTCAAGATCACGCCGCTGCAACGAGTCAAGATAACGCCACTGCACTCCAGCCTAGGCAACCGGAGTGAGATCCTGTCTCAAAAAATAGTAATAAATAAAAGTTAAAATTACCAGGTCTCGGACAATTTGTGGTAAGCATTGGGGATCCAACAGTGAACAAAAATACATGTAGACCCAGATATTCCCAAGCATAATAAATTGCAACGTTTATAAGTATTAATCTGATAGATTTATCTGACTTCCAAAAGATGTGACACATGAACTAAAGACTGAGCAGAAGATAACTCAGATAACTAGATAACGAGGAGATAAGTAGATGAAGCAGGAAAGAAATAACATTCCAGTCAAAGGAATGTAGAATTGCTCCCCTTTTCCCAGGAAAGTTAGATGCTTTCAAAAGTACTTACTGGTTATTTGCAAGACAAAATATTAAAATAATTAGGAAATAGTACAAATGAAATACAATTAAATGAAAAATATATTGTAGATGTGGTTAAGGGAGGAAGAAATCAAAATGAGCCATTTTGTTTGATTTTTAAAAAAATTTTGTGTTTACACATGAAAGAATAGGTCAAAATATATCTACAATGATTGTTTCTATGGTGGGATTATGGGTGATTCTTAATTTCTATCATTTTGACTTTTGTAATTTTCATTGCAATAATTTAAATATTACTTGAATGATTAAAAAAATCAAAGTTTGGAAAAATAATTGACTAGAGTTTCTAAAGTAGTTTTATTTTTTAAAGTAAAAAATAAAAAAACCAGAGATGACTTTAAAAGATTGCAGTGATGGGCCAGGCACAGTGGCTCATGCCTGTAATCCCAGGAGGCCGAGGCAGGCAGATCACGAGGTCAGCAGATCGAGACCATCCTGGCTAACACGGTGAAACCCCATCTCTACTAAAGAATACAAAAAAAATTAGCCGGGCGCAGTGGCGGGCACCTGTAGTCCCAGCTACTCGGGAGGCTGAGGCAGGAGAATGGCGTGAACCTGGGAGGTGGAGATTGCAGTGGGCCAAGATAGCGCCACTGCACTCCGGCCTGGGTGAAAGAGCGAGACTCTGTCTCAATAAATAAATAAATAAATAAAAAGATTGCAGTGATGGGCGGAGGGAGTAGAAAAAGAATAGTACAGGCATCAAGAGTGGAGCACTGCAGAAATATTTCTAAGCCACATGGCATCTATAATAAACTCCCTAAATACCATTTTTCCAAAATAAATTGGTAGTACTATCCTTTATAATTAAAAGTACTGACATCATTATGTGTATTTTGCTGTCTTTCAAGTTGTATAGGAGTAGGAAATGACAGTGCTGGTGGCAGAAGAGAAAACACTAGAATTTGATTAGAAACCCAAACCTGATTAGGTTCTACAAGAATGATTTTTAGAGGAAGATCAATAGTGCAGCTGGCCTAGAGATGACTGGAACCTTATTGTTTAGCCTCATTCTCTTCTACTCCACACCATCTTCTACAGGACATCACTGGTTGACTACAACTTTCTGGCACACAAATTAAGTACCTCACATAAATCACATATCTCACCTCAGGTTTGCCATTAGGGAAGATAGCACTGAGCCTATTATCTCAAGCACAAAAGTTCTAGGCACCTGACGGACTCATGTCGGCTTGGATTAGGTGAGGAATCAAGGATAACATGATTGACATCCTCTATTAGAGTCATGGTTAAAGCAGAGTGAAGAGTAGTTCCCCAAAAGAAAGCAGGGTGAGGCAGACAAAACAATAGGCCACATAGGGTGTTTGTGTTCTTCTGGATTCAGGTGTATGGTCCCAGCTGCGTTCTTCCTATAGAATCATTATCTTTCCAATCCTTACTTACAGAGGGTCACCTCCCCACATATCTGTGAAGACTTTCCGGATGGCCTTTCCTAGCAATTATTCCCTTTATACTGCTTCTATCACTTAGTCATATAATGTATCACACTGTTTTATTTTTAGATTTGTTAGTTTTACTCCTGGAGACAAGGATTCTAGAGGCAAGGTGCCCAGATATAAAGTTTTACTCCTATGCTTACTATCTGTGAGATGTCAGGCAAGTTACATAAACCCTCTAAGCCTAGTTTCCTCATCTCTGAAATAGGGTTAATAGTATTGCTTTCATAAAGTTCTTAAGAAGTTTAAATGAGATTTTATATATATATATAATATAATGTATATATTATATATATGAAGCTCTTAGTACAACTCTTAGCAACTTAATTGACATAACCTGAAATGAACTGCCTGGATGAATCTGTTTCCACCAAATTAAAGGGTGGGATGGGGAAACAAAGAATAACCCACAAGGTGGCAGTATTTGAATGTAACTTTAGAATCTTATGTTTAAAAGCATAGTCCACCAAAAAAATCTGAAATTCAAGGCAAATACTGGAGAAATTCAAGGTAAATTCAAAGCCTAGATGAAATAAGCAGAACTTTGAGATAAATCAAACTTATAAACTTAACAGGCTTAGTATTCTATTACAATCAGAACACTGAACTCCTAAAAGTCTTCCCTTTACGATGACTGAAAAATGTATCATTTGCCTTTCTCAGCCCATCTTACTGAGAATTGCTCCTATTCCTTTTCTACTTAGCTAAATAATTAAATCTGTGTTGTCACTATTAGAAAGAGAGAGAGAGAAGAAAGAAAAAGAGTGAGTTTGATACATAGTGGTTGGAGCCTTCTCTTCATGCCATAAATCCCTAGGACTGATAGAAAAGACATACTTAGGCCGGGTGTGGGGGCTCACACCTGTAATCCTAGCATTTTGGGAGGCCAAGGCAGGCAGATCACCTAAGGTCAGGAGTTTGAGACCAGCCTGGCCAACATGGTACAACCCCATCTCTATTAAAAATACAAAAATTAGCCGGGCATGGTGGCAGACACCTATAATCCCAGCTACTCGGGAGGTTGAGGCAGGAGAATCACTTCAACCAGGGAGATGGAGGTTGCAATGAGCCAAGATCACACCACTGTACTGCAGCCTGGGCGACAAGAGCAAAACTCTGTCTCAAAAAAAAAAAAAAGAAAAGAAAACATACTTAACATACTTAAACTTATCAGTGCATTGGAAAACAAGAACCTTGGCCATTGAAGGTCCAGAACTTATGAAGAGTCCTTGAAAAGTGGATAAGAGGCTAGATTGGGAAAAAGTAACAGCCTGTGGTGTTGTGATATATATATAGGTTTTCATCCACAGCTCTTGGCTCATAACTCCCATAGCCCTTGTTACAGTCATTTGTTATAAAGTTGGGTATGTTAGACCTCAGGAACAGGCCTCTGACCTTCTCCTGCCCTTCTTCCATAGTTTCCGCACCTTTCTGACTCTGGGTCTTAAGACCCTCCCACGAGAGAGTCCCACCCTATACCCTGCGGGAAGGAATGCTGATGTCCTGAAGCTTCCATAAAAATCCAAGAGGACAGAGTTCATGAGCTTCCAGATAGGTGAACACATGGAAATTCCTGGAGGGTGGCACACACAGGGAGGGCATGGAAACTCCACGTCCCTTCCCTCATACCTCACCCTACGCGTCTCTTCATCTGTATCCTTTGCAATATCCTTTTTAATAAACCAGTAGGCCAGGCGCAGTGGCTCACGTCTGTAATCCCAGCACTTTGGGAGGCCGAGGCAGGCGGATCACCTGATGTCGGGAGTTCGAGACCAGCCTCACCACCATGGAGAAACTCCGTCTCTACTAAAAATACAAAATTAGCCAGGCATGGTGGCAAAAGCCTGTAATCCCAGCTACTCGGGAGGCTGAGGCAGGAGAATCGCTTGAATCCGGGAGGCAGAGGTTGCAATGAGCAGAGATCATGCCATTGCTCTCCAGCCTGGGCAACAAGAGCAAAACTCTGTCTCAAAAAACAAAAACAAAAACAAAAACAAAACAAAAAAACAGTAAATATAATTATTTCCTGAGTTCTTTGAGCCACTCCAGCAAATTAATAGAACTCAAAGAGGGAGTCATGGGAACCCCAACTTGAAGCCAATCAGTCAGGAGTTCCGGAGGTCTGAACTTCTGACTGGTGTAGGGGGATGTCAGAGGTATTTGAACCATAGTGACTCCATCTTGAATAGGGGCTGGGTAAAATGAGGCTGAGATCTGTTGGGCTGCATCCCCAGAAGGTTAGGCAAGAATAGTCACAGGATGAGATAGGAGACTGGCACAAGATACAGGAAGAACCTGCTGATAAAACAGGATGCAGAGTCGGGGAAAAGCGGCTCACGCTTGTAATCCCAGGGATGGGAGGCCGAGGCAGGCAGATCACCTGAGGTCAGGAGGTCAAGACCATCCCAGCCAACATGGTGAAATCCCGTTGCTACTAAAAATACAAAAAAATTAGCCTGGCATGGTGGCAGGTGCCTGTAATTCAGCTACTCAGGAGGCAGAGGCCCACGGAGGTTGTAGTGAGCCAAGATTGTGCCATGGCACTCCATCTCAAAAAAATAAAATAAAATGAAACAAAATACAAAAAATTAGCTGGGTGTGGTGGTGCACTCCATCTCAAAAAATAAAATAAAACAAAATACAAAAAATTAGCTGGGTGTGGCGACACACTCCTATAATCCCAGCTACTCAGGAGGCTGAAGCATGAGAATTGCTTGAGCCTGGGAGGTGGAGGTTGCAGTGAGCCAAGATCACACTCCAGCCTGGACAACAGAGCAAGACTCCGTCTCAAAAAAAGAATAGAAAAGAAATGCATGGAAAAAGATATAAGCACAATAAAGCTGGAGTGGCTATTATAATAGCAGAAAAGCAGATTTGAGACAAAAATTGTTGCCAGTAGCTGGGCGTGGTGGCTCACGCCTGTAATCCCAGCGCTTTGGGAGGCTGAGGTGGGTGGATCACCTGAGGTTGGGAGTTCAAGACCAGCCTGACCAACACGGAGAAACCCTGTCTCTACTAAAAATACAAAATTAGCTAGGCATGGTGGTGCATGCCTATAATCCCAGCTACTCAGGAGGCTGAGGCGGAAGAATCACTTGAACCCGGGAGGCAGAGGTTGTGGTGAGCCGAGATTGCGCCATTGCACTCCAGCCTGGGCAACAAGAGCGAAACTCTGTCTCTAAATAAATAAATAAATAAATAAAGATAAGTAAATTAATTAATTAATTAAATAAAATTAAAAAATTGTTGCCAGAGATAGAGGGCTATTTGATAATAATAAAAGGGTCAGTTCTCAGCAGGGTGCAGTGGCTCATGCCTGTAATCCCAGCACTTTGGGAAGCTGAGGCAGGCAGATCACAAGGTCAGGAGATTGAGACCATCCTGGCCAACATGGTGAAACCCTGTCTCTACTAAAAATACAAAAATTAGCTGGGCGTGGTAGCACGTGCCTGTAGTCTCAGCTACTCGGGAAGCTGAGGCAAGAGAATCGCTTGAACCCAGGAAGCGGAGTTGCAGTAAACCGAGATGGTGCCACTGCACTCCAGCCTGGGTGGCAGAGCCAGACTCTGTCTCAAAAAAAAAAAAAAAAAAAGAAAAAGAAGGGTCAATTCTTCAGAAGAAATAATGTGTATGCAGTTTTGCTACAGATGTAGTAAAAGAAAAAAAAAAGAATAATTTGTATATACCTAATCATAAAGATTCACATTCCTGATAACAGAACTTCCAAATACATGAAGTGAAAATCAACTGAGCTAAAAGGAGAAATAGACAATTTCATGATCTCAGCAGGAGATTTTAACACTCTGCTCTCAGCAATAGATAGAACAGTTAAACAAAAAAAAATCAAGAAATTCATAGGTGTTTTGAACAATACTATAAACCACCTTGACTTCTGTGATGGTTAATGTTATGTGTCAACTTGACTAGGCCACAGAGTGTCCAGACATTTGGTCAAATGTTATTCTGTGTGTGTCTGTGCGGGTATTTCTGGGTTCAAGTAACATTTGCATTGGTAGGCTGAGTAAAATAGACTGCCTTCTTTAATGTGAATGAGCCCCATCCAATCAGTAGAAGACCTGAATAGAACAAAAGGGAACTCCTCCTTCTTGATTGCTTTAGAGCTGGGACATCAGGTTTTTTCCTGCTTTCAGGCTTAGACTTAAACATGGGCTTTTCTTGGGTCTTGAGCCTGCTGGCTTTCATTCTGATACTACAACATCAGCTCTTCTACTTCTTGGGCCTTTGGACCAGGACTGGAACTATGCCATTTGCTCTCCTAGATCTCCAGCCTGCTGACTGCAGAGCTCAGACTTATCAGCCTCCACAATTACATGTGCCAATTATTTATAATAAACCTCTCGCTCTCTCTTTCTCTCTCTCTCTCTCCCTCCCTCTCTCTCATCTACACATCCTACTGGTTCTGTTTCTCTGGTGATCTCTGACTGATACAACCTCATTGATGTTTATAAAGCACCACATCCAACAACTCCAGAATACATTTTGTTTTCAAGTGCATGTGGTATGTTCAGCAAGATAGACCATATAGTGGATCTTAAAATGTCTTAATAAATTTTTAAAAATTGCAATCATACAGAGTATGTTCTCTGATCACAATGGAACTACATTAGAGATCAATAAAACTAAGATCTAGGGAAACTTCAAATATGTGTAAATAAACAAGATATTTAAAATAATCCATTGGTCAAAGAAGAAATCACATAGGAAGTTAGATAGTATTTCACACTGAATGAATAAAAATACAACATATCAAAATTTGTATGATGCATCCAAAGCAATGCCTATTCAGAAATATATAGCTTTAAATGCTTATGTTGGTGAAGAAGAGATGTCTAAAAATCAATGACCAAAAGTTCCACATAAATAAGCTAGGGAAAAAAAGAGCAAAGTAAATCCCGAAGTAAGTGGGAGGAAATAAAGATAACAACAGAAATCAATTAACTAAAATATAGGAAAGTAATAGAAAAAATTAGCAAAGCTGAAAATTGTTCTTTGAAAAGATCAGCAAAATTGATAAACTCCTTGCTAGAATTAGTTATTTAAAAAAAAAAAAAAAAAAAAGGCTGAGCGCAGTGGCTCATGCCTGTAATCCCAACAGGGGATTACAAAGAGGCTGAGGTGGGCGGATCACCTGAGGTCAGGAGTTCGAGACTAGCCTGGCCAACATGGTGAAACCCCGTCTCTACTAAAAATACAAAAAAATTACCCGCGCATGGTGGCAGGTGCCTGTAATCTCAGCTACTTGGGAGGCTAAGGCAGAAGAATCACTGCATGTACCTGGGAGGTGGAGGTTGCAGTGAGCCGAGACCTCACCATTGCACTCCAGCCTAGGCAACAAGAGTGAAACTCCATCTAGAAAGAAAGAAAAAGAAAGAAAGAGAGAGAGAGAGAGAAGGAAGGAAGGAAGACAAACATCAAGAATTTCAAGAGTCTGAGATTGTACCCTCCTGTTAAAGCTAACAAGTTAATCTGCCAGAGTTTCACGGAATCTGGCCTGCTAAATGAGATTCCTAAGCCAGAGACTAGCACTTTACCACTCACAGCCAGCAAGCAGCATGAGCTTCACATTTGCATTAGTTCTTTTAGACCCTCAAGTCCTATGAGAAAGACACAGAGTGGCCCAGGTAGGTGTTATAGGTGTTATAAATGTAGTGGGTTGGCATCTCAGTTAAGGAAACCCAGGCTTAGTAACTTAATCCTTTATAGTAGACTGCAAGAAAACCTGACTGACTTTTACCCCTGAGGTAGAAATTATCTTTATTGTACCAGAGAGTTAAAATAAAAAAAAATAAAAAAAAATAAAAACCTGTCCCTGCTCTAGAGGGCTCCACTGTCACTATTTACCAAGTGATTTGCAATACAAACATCTTTAAAAGATAACTCAGAACAAAGGCTGTCAGTGCCTCTACTCACAGGACCTGCAGAAACATGAAGGAACCCACAGGAAATTTGTTCCCAACAAGAGCACCAATTGCCAATATCAGGAATGAAAAAGTAGTTATCACCACAGATACCACAGACATTAGAACAAAAAATAAAATAAAATAAAGTAAGAGAACATTGTGAACAACATTAGGTTAAAAAAAAGTTGCCTTTGAGAAGTTGAGGGTAGGGATTGACTGAAAAGGAGAATGAGGAAACTCTCTGAGGTTGTAGAAATATTCCATATCTTGATGGAGGTGTAGGTTACATAGGGTACATGCATTTATCGTAACTCCACAAATATACAGTTAAAATTTGTGCATTTCGTTGTTGCAAATTTTACCTCAAAAGGAAAAAATGGGCTGGGCGCAGTGGCTCATGCCTGTAATCCCAGCATTTTGAAAGGCCGAGGCGGGCAGATCACGAGGTCAGAAGATGGAGACCATCCTGGCTAACGTGGTGAAACCCTGTCTCTACTAAAAATACAAAAAATTAAAAAAAAAAAAAGAAAAAAATACAGAAAATTAGCCGGGCGTGGTGGCACACACCTGTAGTCGCAGCTACTTGGGAAGCTGAGTCAGGAGAATCACTTGAACCCAGGATGTGGAGGTTGCAGTGAGCCAAGATCATGCCACTGCACTCCAGCCTGGGCGACAGAGTGAGACTCCGTCTCAAAAAAATAAATAAATAAACAATATAAACCTTAGTAATGATTTTTATACTGAAGTGTTTCAGGGTAAAAGTATTTAGGGATAAATGATCAATATCTGCAATTTACTCTGAAATGCATAAAGGGATGAACAAATGGGTAGATATGTGATAAGGCAAATATATTTAAAATGTTAATGGTTTAATCTCGATAAACATATTTGTTCACAATAATATTCTTCTAAGTTTGTTGTATGCTTCAAAATTTCTAAATAAAAAAATGGAAAGAAAAAGAGACTTAAAAAACATGTACAGTCATGCATCACTTAACAATGGAGACACATTCTGAGAGATGTGTTGTTAGACAATTTTGTCATTGTGCCCACATAATAGAGTATCCTTACACAAACCTAGATGGTATAGCCTACTACACACCTAGGCCATGTGGGTTAGCCTATTGTTCCTTGATTACAAACTTGTACAGTATGTTACTGTACTGAATAGTGTCAGCAATTGTAACCCAATGGTACTTATTTGTGTGAGGAAACATAACTAAACATAGAAAAAGTACAGTAAAAATATGGATTATAATCTTTTGGGACCACTGTTGTATTATGTGCTGTCTTTGACCAAAATGTTGTTATACAGCATATGATGGTAAATCAGTTACAATAAATGGACCTTATTTGGATAATGATTTGGACACATAAGCTGTAAAATCAAATAGTATGACATACTAGCAATAATTTGAACACTGGCTTGTTACTTGTTTATTGTTTTTATTTTATTTTATTTTATTTTTTTAGACAGAGTCTTGCTCTGTTGCCCAGGTTGGAGTGCAAGAGTGCCATCACGGCTCACTGCAACCTCTGCCTCCAGGGTTCAAGCAATTATCCTATCTCAGCCTCCCAAGTAGCTGGGATTACAGGCACACACCACCACACCCGGCTAATTTTTTGTATTTTTAGTAGACATGGGTTTTCACCATGTTGGCCAGGGTGGTCTCGAACTCCTGACCTCACGTGATCCACCCACCTTGGCCTCCCAAAGTACTGGGATTACAGTCGTGAGCCACTGCGCCCAGGCTGTTTACTGTTTTTAAGCCTGTGTAAGAGAAGCTGTTGGCCCTGGGCTCCACAGTCTCTCACCCTTACCACTTCAGGGCATGCTACCCTGAATTTAGCAGCCAACAACTGCATTTCTTTGCCTGAAGACTTTGCCTCCTGAAGTCTTGTTGGCCTGCCCCTGTGGCTTTCTGCAAGTGCTGAGGAGGTAATGCTTGCCCAACTCAGATTCAGCCATCTGCGAAAGTCTTACTTAGAACCTTCCTTTTTCTGTCTCACTCCCTCCACTTCCCCACTGATGTTTCCCTCTCTCAGATGACTTGCACTTAAATTTTTGTCTTTGTTTCAGCTTCTGGAGGAACCCAAAGTGTGACATTGGGATAATGGCATTTCAGTTATTTAAAAACAAACAAACAAACAAACAAAAAGACTTTTTAAGTTTGGGAGATATTTACTGAAATATTACAGATAAAATTATATTACTTGGGATTTGTTTCAAAACACAAGTGTTAGTGGGGAGAGTGGATAAAAATATAGATGAAAAAAAATGTTGGCAAGGCTTAGTGGCTCACGCCTGTAATCCCAGCACTTTGGGAGGCCAAGGTGGGTGGATCACCTGAGGTCAGGAGTTTGAAACCAGCCTGGCAAGCATGGTGAAACCCCATCTCTACTAAAAATACAAAAATTAGCCAGCTGTGGTGGCGGGCACCTGTAATCCCAGCTATTCGGGAAGCTGAGGCAGGAGTATTGCTTGAACCCGGGAGGCAGAGGTTGCAGTGAGCCGAGATCGTGCTATTTATTGCACTCTAGCCTGGGCAACAGAGCAAGATTCCATCTCAAAAAAAAAAAAAAAAGAAAAAGAAAAAATGTCTGGATGATAATTATTGAAATGCAGTGCTAAACATGGTTGTTCATTATACACTTCTGTCTACTTTTTGTATATGTTAGACATTGTATTGCAAATGATCTGTAGGAGCTAAAAAAAAAAAGGAGATATGTTTGGAGGCTTGGGCACAAATTGTTGCCTGGGCTCTGCCAAGCAGCCTCACCTGAGGAAGACATTAGTTTAAAAGCTGACCAAAGAATCCACGTGGGAATATTCAGAACTACATCATATTTGTAATAGCCCTAAACTGGAAACTGCTGGAATGTCCTTCAATGGGTGAATGATTAAATAAGCTATGGCATATCTGCACCATGGAATGCTACTCAACAATAAAAAGGAACTAATTATTGATACACCAACCTGGATGGACCTCAAGAGCAACATACTGAGTGGAAAAAAAAAAAACTAATCTCAAAAGATCATGTGATTCCATTTATATATATATATACATATATGTATAAATATTTTTCTATTTTATATTTTTATATTTAATATATATTTGTATATATTTTTATATTATATATAGTATATATGTATAAATATATATACACATATATTATATATGTATAAATATATATACATATATGTGTATATATATACACATATATAATATATGTATAAATATACATACACATATATAATATATGTATAAATATATATACATATATATAATATATGTATAAATATATACACATATATATAATATATGTATAAATATATACACATATATAATATATGTATAAATATATACACATATATATAATATATATGTATAAATATATATACATATATAATATATATGTATAAATATATATACATATATATAATATATATGTATAAATATATATACATATATATAATATATATGTATAAATATATATACATATATATAATATATATGTATAAATATATATACATATATATATAATATATATGTATAAATATATATACATATATATATAATATATATGTATATATATTTTTTTTAGATGGAGTTTTGCTCTTGTTGCCCAGGCTGGAGTGCAATGGTGCAGTCTTGTCTCACTGCAACCTCCGCCTCCTGGGTTCAAGCAATTCTCCTGCCTCAGTCTCCCTAGTAGCTGGGAATACAGGCAGATGCCATGATACCCAGCTAATTTTTCTAGAGACGAGGTTTCACCATGTTGGTCAAGGCTGGTTTCGAACTCCTGATCACAGGTGAACCACTCACCTTGGCCTCCCAAAGTGCTGAATTAAAGGCGTGAGCCACAACACCCGGCCCATTTATATATTCTTGAAATGACATGACAAAGTATACAGATGGAGATAGATTCATGGTTGCCAGGGGTTCGGGAAGCAAGAGGCATATATGACTGTATACGGGTAGCATGAAGGAGATATTTGTGGTAAGGATCTTGTGCAGTATTTTTTTTTTTTTTTTTTGAGATGGAGTCTCACTTTGTCACCCAGGCTGGAGTGCAGTGGCAGGATCTTGGCTCACTGCAACCTCCGCCTCCTGGGTTCAAGCAATCCTCCATCTTCAGCCTCCCAAGTAGCTGGAATTGCAGGCATGAGTCACCATACCTAGCTACTTTTTTGTATTTTTAGTAGAGACAGGGTTTCACCATGTTGGCCAGCTGGTCGTGAACTCCTGCCTCAAGTGATTCACCTGCCTTGGCCTCCCAAAGTGCTGGGATTATAGGCATGAGCCACTGCACCTGGCCAAGGACTACTGCTTGTGCATTTTCTTGATTATGGTGGTGGTTATATGATTCTACACAATTGCATAGAACTGTACACACACACAAACACACACACACACACAATGAGTGCCTATAGAGGAAAATCTGAATGAAGTCAATGGATTGTACCAATATAAATTTCTGTGTTTAGGCTGGGCCCAGTGGCTCATGCCTGTAATCCCAACACTTTGGTAGGCTGAGGTGGGTGGATCTCTTGAGCCCAGGAGTACAAGAACAGTCTGGGCAACATAAAGAGACCCCATCGCTACTAAAAATACAAAATTAATCAAGTGTGGTGGCACACACCTATAGTCCCAGCTACTGGAGAGACTGAGGTGGTGAGAGGATCACCTGAGCCTGGTGAGTTCGAGGCTGTGGTGAGCAGCGATCGTGCCACTGCATTCCAGCCTGGGCAACAGTGAGACCTTGTCTCAGAAAAAAAAAATTCTGTATTTTTAATTTATACTATATGTAAGATGTAACCATTGAGGGAATGTGGGTGCAGGGTACAAGGGACCTCTGTAAACCATTTTTTGCAACTTTCTAAGAATCTACAATTATTTCAAAATTAAACATCTTTTTAAAAGTAAAGAAATGGAAATAAAATTTTTTTTCTGATGAAAATATGTATATATATTTAGGATTCATCCTCTAGACTCACTTTAGATAGTCTCAATCTTGTTGGCAACACCCAAAGCATGGTAATCAGGAGCCAGTCAAACATATGCCTTCTTCTCTCCATCAGGCCTAATCAGGGTGTTCACCTTGACCACATCAGTGTCATAGAGCTTCTTCACAGCCTGTTTGACCTGGTGCTTGTTGGCTTTAACATCTTCAATGAACACAAGTGTGTTGCTGTAACTGCCCAATGGGTTCATCTTGCCTGCTGCCTAGACAAAGCCAATTTATCAATACAGGGGAATTGCAATAGAGAAAGAGTAATTCATGCAGAGCTGGCTGTGCAGGAGACCAGAGTTTATTATTGCTCAAATGAGTCTCCCTGAGCATTTGGGGATGAGAGTTTTTAAGGATTACTTGGTGGGTGGGGGGCAGCCAGTGAGTCAGGAGTGTGGATTGGTCAGGTCGGAGATGAAATCATGGGAAGTTGAAGCTGTCCTCTTGGGCTGAGTCAGTTCCTGGGTGGGGGTCACAAGATCAGATGAACCCGTTTATCTGGGTAGTATCAGCTGATCCATCAAGTGCAGGGTCTACAAAATATCTCAAGCTCTGATCTTAGGCTTTACAACAATGATGTTATACCCAGGAGCAAATTTAGGAAGGGTCAGAATCTCGTAGCCTCCAGCTGCACAACTCCTAGACTATAATTTCTAATATTTTGGCTAATTTGTTAGTCCCACAAAGGCAGTCGAGTCCCCAGGCAAGAAGGGGTTTGCCTTGGGAGAGGCCTGTTATCACTTTGTTTTTTTTCTTTCTTCTGTTTTTTTTTTTTTTTTTTTTTTGAGATGGAGTTTCATTCTTGTTGCCCAGGCTGGAGTGCAATGTCACAATCTCCGCTCACCTCAACCTCTGCCTCCCGGGTTCAAGAGACTCTCCTGTCTCAGCCTCCTGAGTAGCTGGGTTTACAGGCATGAGCCATCATGCCCGGCTAATTTTGAATTTTAGTGGAGAACAGGGTTTCTCCATGTTGGTCAGGCTGGTCTCGAACTCTTGACCTCAGGTGATCTGCCTGCCTCTGCCTCCCAGAGTGCTGGGATTACAGGCGTGAGCCACTGTGCCCGGCTTCATCTTTGTTTTAAACTATCAACTAAGTTCCTCCCAAAGTTAGTTCAGCCTATGCCCAGGAATGAACAAGGATAGCTTGGAGGTTAGAAGCCAGCTAGAGCTGGTTAGGTCAGATCTCTTTCACTATCTCAGTTATAATTTGGTAATGGTGGTTTCATTGTTGTCTTCTATCTTCTTCATGGCGGACTCAGTGGTCAGAGGAAACTTGATGATAGCAT
Organism: Homo sapiens; assembly: GCF_000001405.40. Lineage (NCBI taxonomy): Eukaryota > Metazoa > Chordata > Mammalia > Primates > Hominidae > Homo > Homo sapiens. The sequence goes on from NW_013171802.1 coordinate 123,547, forward strand.
AGTGGTCAAGCTTGTTTCTCCTGGGGGTGCTCTTCCGGAGATATTTGGTCAGTTTCCCGAGTTGCAGTGTCTTGAGCCGCCAGAAGGTGGGTGACGTGCGGATCTTCTTTTTTCTGTGGTTGTGGACACCTTTCAGCACTACCTCTGGGCCTTCAAAGCCTTCGCTTTGGCTTCAGCTTTAGGAGGGGCAGGAGCTTCCTTTTCGCCTTCGGTGCCATCTTGTGAAAAAGCAAAAATAAAGTTTTTTAAAAGGGCATCCAAATTTAGTGAAGTCCTATATCCATTGTTGACAGTGCGAAAGTGCAAGCTTCCTTTTCTCTATCCAGGAGCAGGAGCAGTACAGTCTTCACTTGAAGTCCAGTAGCCTAATTATTATAGGCTATGTACCCTCTAAACCTGATTATAAGCCTCTCTTGGACATTTGAGAAGCTGCTCAACATCTTAATAAATTCCTTTTCAAGTTAAACTAGACACTGCGTGTTCTGTTGTTTGCAGCTTTCAATACTGGCCACTTTTTATTGTAATAGTTTCAATCGCCTGTCTTTGTCTCCTGAGGGATATGGGAGAGTGATAAGTACAGCTAAAATGTATCTCTACACACTGAAGCCACTGAAGAAATTGGTATAAAGATAGAAATTAATAAATTGATATTCAATCTACTTCAAGAATGTCTTTGTTAATGCCACTGACTATAGCCTCTTGGGCACTTCTAGAAGCAGAGAGACGGGTCTATGCTGCTTTATGATTATTAATGCTCCTCACTTTCTTTTTTTTTTAGATGGAGTTTTGCTCTTGTTGCTCAGGCTGGAGTGCAGTGACAGGCTCGCAGCTCACTGTATTCTTCTGTGTCTAGAACACAAATTCTGCTTCTATACCTCATTAAGGTAATGATGATGCACTGCCCTCCCTCAAGACCCCTAATCACAGCCCATAGTGGTTCTCAGATGAAAGGGCTACTGCGTGCAAATCCCTCCTGATGTTAAGTGTGGTTTATATAAGTTCCCTGAAAGAGGGCTGTTGAAGAAAGCTTTATAACTATCCTATGTTATAGGAAGATTAGGGGTAGACAAGGGGACAAGCAAGGGACTGGGAAGAAAGCAAGAGAAAATAACAAAACATATAGTTCAAATAACAGAAATAAGATTTATAGAAATTATTTTGGCCTAAGAAAAGAAGGAGAAAGAGATCCAGGGCAGGATCTTTAAGGATCTCACAGGCAATATTTCCCCTATTATCCTTATTATGACTTTGTATTAAATGTATATGTGGGTGGGGATCCTTGCTGGTATTGGGACTTTATACTTAATTTATTCAAGTTATTCTATGAAGAAATTAATTTACAAAGCTTACAAAAACAGAACTACATGAACAACTTCAATTGAATGAAATTTTACCTTAGTCCAAAATAGAAATGGCCAGTTTTATTATACATCTTTCTCTTGATCCCAGTTTTATATTTGAGATTAAAATGTATCTACAAAAGCACTTTAAAACAATTAAGATGATGGAGGGAATTGTTAGAGGTACACATGAAACCGCCTTTGCAAAATTATGACTGAGACAGGGAAAGAGATTTAACTTAAGCGACTCCATCTCACTTTTAACCTCCAAGCTGTCCTTGTTCATTCCTGGGCGTAGGCTGAACTAACTTTGGGAGAAACTTAGTTTGTAGTTTATCGTTTAAACAAAGATGGTAACAGCCCTTTCCCAAAGCAGATCTCCTTCTTGCCTGGGGACTAGATCGCCTTTGTAGAACCAACATTAGCCACAAGAGCAGAAATTATGGTTTAGGAGTCATGCAGCTGGAGGCTACAAGATTCTGACCCTCCCTAGACTGCTCCTAAGATCAATGCTTGACTATTTTGCAGACCCTGCACTTGATGGATCAGCTGGCACCACCCGGATTAATAAACTGGCTCATCTGATCATGTGGCCCCCAACCCAGGAACTGACTCAGCACAAGACAGCTTCAACTCCCTGTGATTTCATCTCTGTCAAATCAGCACTGCTGGCTCACTGGCTTCCCCCACCCACCAAGTTATCCTTAAAAACTCTGCTCTGGAATGCCCAGGGAGACTGATTTGAGTAACAATAAAACTCCCATCTCCCTCACAGCCAGCTCTGCGTGAATTATTCTTTCTCTATTGCAAATCCCCTGTCTTGAATTGGCTCTGTCTAGGCAGCCAGCAAGGGAAACCCCTGGGCTGTTACACACATGCTATGACTTGCATAATGGTTTCTCCTTCAAAGTTTTGTCATTGTTTCTGGTCTATCTTCTAAAAATTTCACCATCAGAAATTAAGACTTTTGAGAAAAACAAAAAACAAAACCAAAACTCCCAGAGAAATTGGAGTAGCTCTGGGTATGCCAAAGACCACCATTAATCATCATTCCCTACTTTTCTTTCATACTTTCCAGTTTGGAATCTACTATAACATCCGTTGTTTCTCATTATGATTTTGATTTGTTACAACCTTGAGAAAGAGGTAGAGACTTAAATTATTATCAAAAATGTTTTAATGAAAAAGATGAAGCTCAAAGAGGTTAAGTGACTTGCTCAAGGTCACAGAGCAGTAAAAAAATCTCATCTCCCACATGAGAAACAGAGTAAGCCTGCTGTCCTCTCTAATACTAACACATCAACTGAGAGAAACGAGAGCCCTGGGGAATTTTCTCTAATCACCCCACATTAGCTGTGTAGCACAGATTGCTTTCCACTTCTCAAATCCCATTGCACTTGCCATCTGCAAAATTCACTTGAGTTCTTCCTCATATTTTGCCTTGTCTTGCTTTTAAGTGCTTAGTAAGTTAATAGGTAAATGGTGTGTGTGTGTGTGTGTGCATGTGCGTGTGCATCCGCACTCGTAACCTCCAATTATATAGTCCAAGTATTAGAAACACAAATTAGACTTGTATTCTCACAAAATTTAGCACAGTATCATCCTTATGAAAAAATTAATTTGTATATTAATTTAATTAATCTAATTTAACTATTCTCTAATCTAGAAAATAGCATGGAAAATACAGACTTTGACCCTAAGAAGGTATAGAGAAAAGGACAATCTTAGTAGAAGTGGGTCAGACACTTTCTTGCCTATTGAGTCTACCACTATTATTTTAACCGTTCTTTTGCCAACACACTTCACACACCTTGTTCTTCCTGTTGCACATTCCCACCTCAACCATAACCCTGGATCAACCTTAAAGTCAGCCTCCTTCTCTCCTTACATTTGTTAGTCTAGAGACAAGATTACAGGCAAGTCTGGGCGTGGTGGCTCACGCCTGTAATCCTAGCACTTTGGGAGGCCAAGACGGGTGGATCACTTGAGGTCAGGAGTTCGTGACCATCCTGACCAACATGGTGAAACTCCATCTCTATTAAAAATACAAAAAATTAGCTGGGGATGATGGTGGGCACCTGTAATCCCAGCTACTGGGGAGGCTGAGCCAGGAGAATTGCTTGAACCCGGGAGGTGGAGGTTGCAGTGAGCCACAATAACGCCACTTTACTCCAGCCTGGGCAACAGCAGTGAAACTCTGTCAAAAAGAAAGCAAGAAAGCAAGCAAGAAGGAAGGAAGGAAGGAAGGAAGGAAGGAAGGAAGGAAGGAAGGAAGGAAAGAAGGAAGGAAGGAAGGAAGGGAGAGAGGGAGGGAGGGAAAGGTTACAAGCAATGGAACTTACACTTGCTTAAATAATAAAGTATATTTGGACTGAAAAGTCCAAAGGTAAAACTGACTTCAAATGAAGCTTGATCTTGCAGCTCAAATGATGTAAAAGCAAGTTTCTTTTTGTCTTTCCACTCTGCTTTTTTCAGGCTTGGCTTCATTCCCAGGCCAAGCCCTGACTATCATAAGAAGCCTGCTACCCAATCCTTTTGCTTTCATTTTCAGCAGGGAAAAGCAAAAATGTGACCCAGTGTTCACAGTAAAAACCCTAAGTCATGTGCCCACCATTTACCTAATTCCTCAGGCCAGGTAAATGGGATAAACTGATAAGCTTAAACTCAGTTCTGTGTCTCACATTAAAGCTGGAAATTGAATCAATTTCCCTAAAATCACATGGATCTTCAAATGGAAATTAGTAGCTACTGGAAAGGAGGAAATAGATTTAATTAACACATGTCCTCCATTTTTATTTATCTTGGCTAGTAGGTGTCAACAGAAGAAATCAAACAACTCTGTGGAATTCACCAATGAAAATTTATGATCTCCCATGTCTGCAGAATTATTACACTAATTACTCTCCCCTCACTCACCTCACTCACTTTTCACTCTCTGCAAGGTATTTTTCCTCAGTTTATTAACTTGATCAAGCATCTCTCTTCATAAAAATGAAAAATAAAGGTCACTGAAACCAATGCCTTTTTTTTTTGAGACGGAGTCTCGCTCTGTTGCCCAGGCTAGAGTGCAGTGGTGTGATCTCCGCTCACTGCAACCTCTGACTCCCAGGTTTAAGCAATTCTCCTACCTCAGCCTGCCCAGTAGCTAGGACTACAGATGTGTGCCCCCATGCCCGACTAATTTTTGTATTTTTAGTAGAGACGAGGTTTCACAATGTTGGCCAGGCTGGTCTCCAACTTTTGACCTCAGGTGATCCACCCACCTCAGCCTCCCAAAGTGCTGGGATTACAGGTATGAGCCACTGTGCCTGGTCACCAATGCCATTTAACTGCTATCCTGTTTACCTCCCCTCACAGCCAAGCCCTTGCATTCTATATACAATGTAAACCATGTTAAAGTGAGACAAAAATAAGATCACTGTGCAACCCACAAAACATTGAACAACCTTCTCTCCCAGCCAAGGTAAGTGACTGGTATTTCCTTACTAATCCTTCCTGTAGTCTCCCCTTTCTATAGATAAGATTTATTGAGATACTTAATCATAGAATTGCCTTCACTTTTTGATAGTGAGTAACTCTGTTTCCTCAGACTCTCCCCAAAATTATCCAATGGAAGGTCAAACCCTTTAAATAGGTTCTAACATCTTCTAACTGAAATGCGTCTCACTTCCCCATGAGGAGAGCTCTCCCCATTTACGACAGTAATAAAACCAACTTGTTCAACTAAAGGTGTGTTCCTGGTGGTCTTTGGCTAGAGGGCGTTTGCAGTCCTCACTGTATTAGTTGCAGTATCAATTGAAATCCATTGAAGCATCCTTCGTTTCTCTCTGAGTTATTCCAACATCTTCCAAATGGTTTTCCCTGTCACCAGTCTTATTTTCTCCAATTGATTCCCAGACTCCTTGCTAAAGTGATCTTTTCAAAACTCAGATCTGATTATGTCACTCGTTGCCCCCATATTCCTAAGAATAAAGTCCAGATACAATAGCCTGGCCTGTGACATTCTTCTTGATCTAGTTCCCTAACCACACCAGTTTTATCAGTCACCACCACCTCCCTAACTCCAGTTCCATGCACCAGCCTTGACGAACTTGCTTGCAGCCCTTCCAAAACATTTGTCTGAACTCTAGAATGTCCTTTGGACCTCTCCTGATGCCTAGAATCTTCATCTAGCTAACTTTTACTTGTACTTAAAGACTTACCTCAAGCATTTCTCATTCAAGCATTGAGAAGCCTTCTAGAATATTCCCAGAAGTCACTAGTTTGTATGTGATACTCACATTGCACTGTATTATTGTTTTCCTTATGAGATTATCAACTTCTTGAGGTCTAGAATTTTGTTATTCATCCTGATGTTCTCTTGCAGTGGACTCTACTCAAGGTTCTTCTTCTGCAATGTTTGAGAACAGAAATTGTGGTGTGAGACATTCTTCTGCTATTCCTGGAAATGGAAGTGGGGGTTGGGAGTTAGGATGCTCAGATATTGGGGACTGCTTTGTGGGTGAAGCCCAGAAATAGTAAATGTCTTGCAATATACTGGACAGTTCTTCACAAAGAACTATCTCACCCAAAATGCCAATAGCACATCCATTAAGAAACACCATAGTTTCTCAATAAGTGTCTGCTTAGGAATGAATAAATGAACATAAATGAATAAGTAAAATAAAGTAAAAATGAAAGAATACATTAATGAATAACTGAAGGGGAAAAAGCAGCCTGACCATTTATAGATGAAAGTGTACCCTAAGGAGAGACACCGATGGGAAATTCATGACTTGACAACTTAAAATTTTGTCTTTGTTATATTCTTAGCCCTTTTCCCCTAGAGCTGTGACTGCAAGGTGCAATCTGAATTGAAAGAACTAATTAAAGTGAGGCTGGGCATGGTGGCTCATGCCTGTAATCCCAGCACTTGGGGAGACCAAGGTGGGCAAATCACTTGAGGTCAGGAGTTCGAGACCAGCCTGGCCAACATGGTGCAACTCTGTCTGTACTAAAAATACACAAATCAGCTAGGCATGGTTGTGGACACCTGTAATCCCAGCTGCTCAGGAGGCTGAGGCATGAGAATCGCTTGAACCCAGTGGGTGGAGGTTGCAGTGAACTGAGATTGCACCACTGCACTCCAACCTGGGCAACAGAGCAAGATTCTGTCTCAAAAAAAAAAAAAAGAACTAATTAAAGTGAAAAGACTCACATGACAATATCTGGGGTGGAGGAAAAATCAAGCTATCTCAATGTGAGAGGGGAGGCATTTCTACAAGGCCTCTGAGACCATTTGGCCTATGACATTTACCTCACCTTTTTTAAGACAAGACCTTCTAGTTGTGACTTGAATTTGATATTCAACCACTTAACCTAAGACCCATTACTTGAAGTTTATTGTTGCTGCAAATTAAAATCCACAGGGAGCAGACATGCACTACGGTTTTATTTGCCAATGTAAGTGCAGTGTGACTCACATCCTCCCTTCAGGGGGATCTTAGCTAGATAAAACTTTTCCAGGGCTCAACTTTTCCTGGAATAGCTTTGTCATTAAAGACATAGGCACTGAATCAAAAGCTAATTGAATCAAAACTGCAGACAATTTAATCTGGAATTCTAGACCCATTTAGTGCATAAGTAATTGGCATCGAGTGTCTTTTATGCAAGGATGCCAACTGTTTCTGGGTCCCACAGCAATCATTGCCAGTTTTAAAGACAGTGTTTTAAACTTCTCCAATCTGTTTCCACATCCAGTAACATAAATATTTCAATGTAATGCCAACCCATAAATATTAGCTGATGATCACGATCTAAACTGTATTTCAAAAAATAAGAGGCATCCATTAAAAGGGTTTTAAAATATTTTATTCACACTTTTCATGGAAATCTTTTTCTAAACTTCTAATTGCACTAGAGAAAATACCAGTAAAATCTTCTCATAAGGATGACCATGAAGGACTTCTGTTTATCTTTATTAAATGTAGACCCAACACATCCCCAACTACAAGTGTTCTACTTCCTCATTTCCTATTTAAAGGAAAGGAAAAAAACTCACTTCCTTTTCTTTACCATTCTTTTGAGACCTATCAAACTGGTAAACTGCTCCATACTGCTCTATTAATAGCAGCTAATGGGTAGTGAGGCACCATAATTGCCTTTTAGTGATGATGCCTTAATTCACTAAATTCATTAGTAAATCTAGTACTGGAAATGTTTTCAGGCACTCATAGTTCAAGAGAGAGAGATTTGGGAACAGGCCAGATCTAAAGCAAGCATTGTCTGGAGTTCTTTGATTTGTATTAATGCTGTGGAATATGAGTCTGTGAAAGGAAAATAAATTTTGGGACACCCTCCACCCCCACCCACTCCTCGCCAAATCACTAAGCCAAAGGAAAAAGTCAAGCTGGGAACTGCTTAGGGCAAACCTGCCTCCCATTCTATTCCTAAAAAAGATAGCTACTAAGATAAAAAGCTACATACCTCTCTCACAAGAAATTTCCTTGTAGAGAAAGGACAGAGAGGACTCAGTCATCTCTCTGCTCACTGAGATAAATGCATATCTGATTGCCTCCATTGGAAAGGCTAATCAGAAACTCAAAAGAATGCAACCCTTTGTCTCTTTCCTACCTATGAACTGGAAGCCCCCTCCCCGCTTTGAGTTATTCTGCCTTTCCACACAGAACCAATGTACATCTTACATATTGTAATCTCTGTAAAATGTACAAAACCAAGCTGTGCCCCAACAACCTTGGGCACATGTCATCAGGACCTCCTGAAGCTGTGTCATGGGCCTGTGTTCTTAACTTTGGTAAAATAAGCTTCCTAAATTGACTAAGACCTGTTTCAGATAAAGATCACTCCTCAGATCTTACTTTGCAGGAGGGTGCTATCTCTACCTATAATAAGCAAAGCTGATTAAGACTAGTTGAATGCATATAAGAATTACATTAAATGCAATTACACATATCTATTGAGCATATTATATATGTAGACACTGTTAGCTAATGCAGAGGATTCAAGAAAAGCAATTTAAAATCTAGTATGGAGAATAAGGTAGATACATAAGTATCACTGATAGTAAAGTGAGACACTGTCATAAAAGAGACAATGGGATTGTGGAGCTACAAAAAGAGAGAGATTACAATCAGTTGAAAGGATCAGGGAAAGCTTCTTCTTTTTTTTTTTTTTTTTTTTTTTTTGAGACGGAGTTTCCCTCTTGTTGCCCAGGCTGGAGTGCAATGGTGCAACCTCAGCTCACTGGAATGTCTACCTCCTAAGTTCAAGGGATTCTCCTGCCTCAAACTTCCAAGTAGCTGGGATTACAGGTGCCTGCCACCACACCCGGCTAATTGAAAGCTTCTAGTGGAGTTATTTGTGAAAGAACTGAGGGATAAATAGGAGCATCTGAAAGGAATCTACTTTTTCCATGATTGCTAATGTAGAGAAAAACTATAAAAGACTTTGAAATGCATCAAAAAGATTACTGATGACTTCAGTAGAAAATTAGGTGGTTTAGCTGGGATCATTGCACCTTTCATTGTCTTTGAGATATTTTACAACTCTGCAAATTGTAGATAATGGATAGCAGTGCAAACAAGCTCATATTCACAAACATGCAAATTAATTTTGTCAGGTGGAAACACAACTGATTTCTTTATTTCCATTTCTGTAATAAGCAAGTTTTGTATTTATTTACTTTTTTTAATATAAACTCTCAACTAAGTGATTTTATTCCTGTCCATGATTGCAGACACTTACAAAAACATAACATCTGAGTTCACCTTAAGAAATAACTTACAGCTGGGCATGGTGGCCCATGCCTGTAGTCCCAGCTACTTGGGAGGTTGAGGAAAGAGAATCACTTGAACCCAGGAGGTGAAGATTGTAGTGTGCCCAGATTGTCCCACTGCACTTCAGCCTAGGTGACAGAGTGAGACTCTGTCGAAAAAAAAAAAGAAGGAAGGAAGAAAGGAAGGAAGGAAGGAAGGAAGGAAGAAAAAGAAAGAAAGAAAGAGAAAGAAAGAAAGAAAGAGAAGGAAAGAAAGAAAGAAAGAAAGAAAGAAAGAAAGAAAGAAAGAAAGAAAGAAAGAAAGAAAAGAAAAGAAAGAACGGACGAATGAACTTGCATAAAGCAGGGACATAGATAGCACACAATAGTTCAGGGAGGATGCAGAAGCAACTTTTAGTAATTAAAATGTTAATGTGAATAAAGGATGGAATAAATATCCCTACTTATTTCTACCTAAGATGTTATGTGATAATATTTTACAATGTCCTGAGGGTCAATGTATGTTTGTGTATATGTCCATATAACACACACAGATACAGTACATTCTTCTTCCCACACATATACATACAAACATAATTATTTGCAGTTCAGTTTAAGTCAACTTTAATATGCCACTTTGTACCTTTTCTTTTCTTTTGGGGTGGGGGACAGAGTGTCACTCTGTCACCAAGGCTGGAGTGCAGTGGTGTGATCTTGGCTCGTTGCAATCTCCGCCTTCCAGTTCAAGCAATTTTTGTTCCTCAGCCTCCTGACTAGCTGGTAGTAGACACGATCTCACTTTGTTGCCCAGGCTGGTCCTGAACTCCTAGACTCAAGTAATCCTCCCACCTCAGCCACCCAGGTTCAAGCGATTCTCCTGCCTCAGCCTCCTGAGTAGCTGGGATTACAGGCATGTGCCACAATGCCTGGATAATTTTTATATTTTTAGTAGAGACAGGATTTTGCCATGTTGGCCAGGCTGGTCTCAAACTCCTGACCTCAAGTGATTCACCCACTTTGGCCTCCCAAAGTGCTGGGATTACAGGTGTAAGCCACCACGCCCGGACAGATTCCTTTGTTTAAATGTACGCTGTGATAAATAATTTTCCTTTATGATAGTTCTGTGATGGGCTAGTTCACTGTGGTTTACATGAGGGTACTTGGTAATGGATCACACACTCACTGTTATGCGAGAGGAGTAACTCCCTGAAAAGGATTTTAAAAATTTCCCCCAGTTTTGCAATTATCCCTGAGCCCAGTTGATTACTCAGGCTCATTTTATCAGGAGAATTCTTAGAAATACCGTCCATATCTCCTGAGCCTAAAAGCCATTCATGTGATGTGACTCCATTCCTCCTCCTACTCCATCCATGGTACCATCTGACCCAGATTCCACTGGAAAATTAGGTCTGTTAGGTCTACAACATACTGCATTCATTCATATCTCCAGGGTTGATTAAATCTGCTAGACTAGACATGACGGGTGTTCCTGTGGACCTCACCTCCTGGAGGGCCTATGTAATTCCCAGGAGATGTTGAGGAGTATGGTACTGAATTGGCATTTGTTGGGTTTGGCCAAGATCTGCCACCCTCCAGACCCATGTTCATTCTAGGCATTCCAGAGCCACCTAAAGCATTCACTGGGCATCTCATTGCACCTTCATCATTCTGTACTGACAACCAAGGATCAGACTGTGGCCCTCAGGGCACCATTCCTCTTGGAGAAATTGGCCCACCCATACTTAAATGTCCTTGTTGTCAAGTTGGATTCCACTGGGGAGTAATGGCTGACTTCCTAGGATACTTCCAAGTGCCTCTTTAGGTATCTTCAATGGGAACCTTGGACCTCCAGGGTACCAAGGTGATATAAAAAGATAATCATGGAAGTTTTTTGTTACACTTGAGTGTTCACATGTTTCCTTTGGCTCTGGAGCTGCCAAATAGAGATCCCAAAATACACAACACCAGGAATGTAAGAATCCTGGTGGTTCTCCCAATTTTTTCCCCCATCTTATCTCTGATAAAAATGTTCGGGATGATCTCTGAACTCCTACATGGAGCAGATATTCATATATGTAAAGTGCTAACTTCACCAAGGTGTGGCTGTCACATGGGTTAATGCTGCTGTTACTCTTGCCTTTGCTGTACATTCTTTGCTGAGAGTAACTCCCATTGTCATGCACTTGTTACCCCATCACAGCCTCCCTGGAAACAGCCCTGTCCCCATGGCAACCCATGTAGCCACCTTCACTATTGGCTGCCTCACACCAACGGCTTTTGCATTTGTTTATAGATTTGTTTCCTCATTGCTTATTATATATGTGATATTTTTAATTCTCCTATCTATGAATCAGTTGTAGCATGTTACTGCTTCCCTCATTAATTACAAAGCTATATAAAATCTTTGACGTGTTAATTTTATATATGTATAAAAGTTCTGATTGCATCCTACTTTAAAAATTATTCTTTTTTTCTTCTTTTTTTTGAGATGGAGTCTCGCTGTGTCATCCAGGCTAGAGTGCAGTGGTGTGATCTCGGCTCACTGGAAACTCCGCCTCCCGGGTTCAAGCAATTATCCTGCTTCAGCCTCCTGAGTAGCTAGGATTACAGGCGCCCACAACCGCGCCTGGCTAATTTTTCTATTTTTAGTAGAGACGGGGTTTCACCATCTTGGCCAAGCTGGCCTAGAACTCCTGACCTCGTGATCCACCCACCCAGGCCTCCCAAAGTGTTGGAATTACAGGCGTGAGCCACCATGCCTGGCCAAAAACTATTTTTTAAGACTAACACATTTCATCTAACATGATTTTGAGTAACTCTTTATTAATATACCTTTTTCATTTTTCCCTTTCTTTGACCACTTTATTTATTTTATTTATTTATTTTTGAGATGGAGTCTCACTCTGTCACCCAGGCTGGAATGTACTGGCGCGATCTGGGCTCACCGCAACTTCCACCTCCCGGGTTCAAGTGATTCTCCTGCCTGAGCCTCCTGAGTAGCTGGGATTACAGGTGCCCACCACAGTGACTGGCTAATTTTTGTATTTTTAGTAGAGATAAGGTTTGATCATGTTGGCCAGGCTGGTCTTGAACCCCTGACTTCAGGTGATCCCCCCGCCTCGGCCTTCCAAAGTGCTGGGATTACAGGTGTAAGCCATTGCGCCCAGGCTTATTTATTTATTTATTTATTTATTTAATTTATTTTTTGAGACAGAGTCTGGCTCTGTGGGCCTGGCTGGAGTGCAGCGGCATGATCTCGGCTCACTGCAACCTCTGCCTCCTGGATTTAAGCAATTCTCCTGCCTCAGCCTCCTGAGTAGCTGGGATTACAGGCACACGCCACCATGCCTGGCTAATTTTTATATTTTTAGTAGAGAAGGGGTTTCACCATGTTGGTCAGGCTGGTGTCGAACTCCTGACCTTAGGTGATCCACCTGCCTCAGCCTCCCAAAGTGCTGGGATTACAGACATGAACCACTGGGCCCGTCCTCTTTGAACAGTTTAATATAGACCTAAAACTGTATATAGTATGTATGGGATTATGAAGGTGGAAGTAAAGGATGATATTAAGAAGTTTTCTTGTAAAGATCTAGCACTCCTAGAATCTTTCCTACCTAATATGCAAACCAAGGATTACTGAAACAGAAGTTTTGAATCTGGAGGCTGTTCTGTAGTCCTTGGTTTCTATATGAAAATAAAGCCTTTACTTGAAAAATATATATTAAATGTAGAATGTATAAATATTTTATATTTTCTTTTCTTTTTTTCTTTTTTTTTTGAGATGGAGTCTCACTCTATCACCTAGGCTGGAGAGCAGTGGTACAATCTTGGCTCACTGCAACCTCCGCCTCCTGGGTTCAAGGGATTCTCCTCCCTCAGCCTCTTGAATACATGGGATTACAGGCACATGCCACCATGCCTGGCTAATTTTTGTATTTTTGGTAGAGATGGCATTTCACCATGTTGGCCAGGCTGGTCTGGAACTCCTTTTTTCTTTTTCTTTTTCTTTTTCTTTTTCTTTTTTTTTTTTTTGAGACAGAGTCTTGCTCTGTTGCCCAAGCTGGAGTGCAGTGGTGCAATCTCGACTCACTGCAACCTCCACCTCCTTGGTTCAAGTGATTCTCCTGCCTCAGCCTCCCTAGTAGCTGAGAGGCTACCATGTGCCATCATGCCTGGCTAATTTTCGTATTTTTAGTAGAGATGGATTTTCATCATGTTGACCACGCTGGTCTTGAACTTCTGACCTAAGGTGATCCTCCCGCCTCGGCCTCCCAAAGTGCTGGGATTACAGATGTGAGCCACCGTGCCTGGCCATATTTTAAATTTTCTATAACTAGTATTTTATATGTATAAATGTCTTTATACGTAAATATAAAAAGATAAATATATATGTATAGAACTAGCTATATACTTCTCTATTTATTTATATATATCCCATTAGAGTACAAGTCTTATTTATCATTGAAATACTTCCTCCACTATACCAGGACCCTCAGTGCTGAGGGTGGCTACATTCTGAGTAGAGAACATCTTTGATTTTTTAGTCTACAGTCGCAGCTGCTGCATTTTTCTTTGATGTCTTGTGACCCATTTGTCACTGCTAGTCCTCTGCTGTTCTGCCATTGACACTATATAAGGTTATGGAATCTTCTGGTCCAGCTCCTATTCAAGCCTTTACATACATCTTCCCTCAGAGGACTATCTGCTACTATCTGCTAGCAGTCTAGTTTCTCCCCACTACCTATGTTAAGCTCAGACAGTTCAATCAGATTCCCCATACCACAGCCCTAGTGCCCAGTTTGTCAGCAGCACTAACATTTCCACACTGAGTTTTCTCCTTGTAGAGGTGTGATGTCCAAGCAGGCTCATGTCTCTTTCCTGATGGAACCCATAATATCTGTCCTTGCCAGTTCCTGTCAATGTACCTCTCACCCCTGTCCCTAACACACAGGAATTATTCTGCCCCTATTGTTGAACATATAGTTATATTGCTTCTACAGACCTGAATTCTAAACCATAAAGATACAAATATCTATTTATGCTCATCCCTATTAGTCACTGTCTCTTTAGTAGCTGAAGCATAAAAAATTTCTTTAAAAATAAGAAGAACTCTAATATGAGAGGTCATTAGTCCCTTAGAGCTCTCGGCAGCATTTGAGTTTATCTTATAAGATGGAATGTCCTTTCGTCTCTTAATTATATCCATAAAACTAATGAAACTTTAATAAGAAATCTAGATTCCATTAATAGGTTTTGGACATCACAGACATATTTGCTTGTTTGTTTTTAAGTGGGGCAGAGAATAAACCCCAACCTCCAACATCTATGCCTGCTCTATCTGCACGACATTGACAAGAGCAGAGGCCAAACGTGAGCGGACAGATTCCAAGAGGAGGGTCCTCTCATGTAGAGCTACTCTCGTGTCTTACTGTTGGGTCTCATTATGCTACTTAAGAGCAACACAAAATAGTCTTACAGGTTACTAGAAAGCCAGAATAAATAAAAGGAAGGCTTATTAAAAAAACCATATTCCCAGGAAAACTCTGGGTTAATGCCTACTCAGAAAGGAAAGAAAGAGAGATGCCAAAACAGATTATGTATTACTTTAATTGAATCTCTGTATATGATTTGATTAAGGTTTTTTGCCATACTTAAGACAAGACAGTGTATTCATCATGACTTTACATCGTATTATGTTCTGGTTATGTAATTATAAAATAATTAAATTGCCTTCATAAAATTATATGAAAATTCAATGATTACATTTTAGAAATGGACCACTTAAGCCTGTTCAGTTTCTAACCCATAATAAACTTGGCACCCCTAGAGAGCACTGGAAGTGAGACATAAAGTAAGCATTACTTGGCATTCTTCCACAAAAATTCCTGCTGTGGAAGATTGCCCCCTTCAAATAACATCAAGTACTAAACTAGTATTTAATTTAAAACTCTTTAATCAACAAAGATCCCAACAACCGCTAAAACTTCACTGCATGCCAATTTTAACTACCAATTATGAAATCACTGCTAATGCAGTCAATAAAATAGGAGACTTTGAATTGGGGATGAGGGAAGGGTACTGAAACATAGAGATTAGGAGATCACTATCTCGTTTCTTAAAGAAAAATTCTGCAGTAATTTAGCTGAAATTAAGATCAGAGGTGTTGGCCGGGCGTGGTGGCTCACACCTGTAATCCCAACACTTTGCGAGGCTGAGGCAGGTGGATCACAAGGTCAGGAGTTCCAGACCAGCCTGACCAACATGGTGAAACTCCATCTCTACTAAACATACAAAAATTAGCCAGGTGTGGGGCGGGCACCTGTAATCCCAGCTACTCGGGAGGGTGAGGCAGGAGAATCGCTTGAACTCGGGAGGTGGTGATTGCAGAGAGCTGACATTGTGCCACTGAACTCCAGCTTGGGCAATAGAACAAGACTCTGTCTCAAAAAAAAAAAAAAAAAAAAAGAGGTGTGAGTTCTTTTTAACTAAAACTGCTTTAGGCAGGTACATCTCACTCAGTTACTCTTATTTTAATTAACATGGTGAAAGTATAGTGTCCTAAAATCTACCATCCTGAAAAATTAAGTTTATTTTTGTTTCTTTCTTTTTTTTTTTTTTTTGAGACCAAATCTTGCTCTGTCGCCCAGGCTGGAGTGCAGTGGCGCAATCTCAGCTCACTGCAACCTCCGCCTCCCGAGTTCAACTCTCAGGCCTCAGCCTCTGGAGTAGCTGGGACTATAGGTGCCTACCACCACATCTGGCTAACTTTTTGTATTTTTAGTAGAGACAGGGGTTTCACCATGTTGGCCAGGCTGCCCTCAAACTCCTTACCTCGAGTGATCCACCTGCCTTGGCCTCCCAAAGTGCTAGGATTACAGGCATGAGCCACCATGCCCAGCCTTTCCTATCTTTATGGTGAAAAGATCAAGACAAAAGAAACCCTTTCATAACTAAGCATCAGGCAACCATGAGAAGATCAATGTATTGAAGAGAAACTTCCAAGTGATGGGTGGTATTGGGAAATTAGAGATTTGGCCCTTGAATCAGTAGATATAGGATATCTCAGCAGGCATCAAGTGAGGTTTGAAAGTCATTCATTTAATTACCTCCTATCATTCAAAGCATTTTAGACTTGCCCAGCATGTTTTACATTTCAATTCACTTTCACATCTATTAGTTTAGCCGCAAGATCATGACAATGCACAACAGGAAGAGGTCCTGAGAAAGTCAAGTCCTCCGAGTAAATTTGGTAGGAATCTACCTCTATCACCAGCTGGGAAGTAGGCAATGATTGACACATGCAGATTTGATCAGTCTTTCAGTGCCTGTACAGGAGGAGACCCCCCTAGGGAAGGCAGAAGTACTTTGGAAACAGAGCAGCCGGTGAGTGGGATCAGAATGGAGACCTGATCTTAGAAGTATCTCACAGTCAAAGCAAAGCCAGTCTCAAGTTAGAGATCAGCCTTTAAAAGGACAAGCTGATTCTGGGAAACATGAATCACTTAAGTTAGACAGCAGTTTCTGATTTGGTGATGGTTTTTTAAATTTTTGTTTCTTTCCATATATATAGGGGTTGTTTATTCATTCTGAACTTTGCTAACAGTGGGCCAACTTCTAAAACTTGGTTATGGTTCTCATAGGTGTATATTTTTAATATGCATAATTGAAGACATCTTTGTTTTTTCATGTCCATATATTTAAAATTTGAGAAATATAAATTCAAGTGAGAAGAGTTGGAAGAGGGGAGCAATATTATGGTTTAGATGACATGATCATTTCCATTTTCTTAGCTTATTAACATATTTTCCTATACCTCGCAGAATCAAGGTTTTATTTTAGTGTGACAGACAGAACCGGGATAGCAAGAAAAAGTCCAAAGTTAAAATACCACTGCAGCAGTTCCTCTGGATACTGAAAGAGTTTTCATGTTTTTGGCTCTCCACAAAGCAGATTAAAGCTTAAAACTTTCAGTGAAAACAAAAGAGACCCCAGGATTGAATTATCCCCATAGAAGGTTAAACAAAAAAACCCAAAAGCCCAAAAACTAGAATTAAACCTGGAGATTCCAAAGCAGACCCCAGTAGAAGGATTTTGTTTTCTCTGTGCAATCAATAAATGATACAGAGCTTTTTTAGGTATCTGTCGCTAGATGGCACTATATAAACACCTTCATTTTCACTTTTCACATCTTCCCTTAGTAGTCAGAAAGGAGGCAAAATATCAGGTAAGGCAATCCTTTTAGTCTTCTTGAAATTGCTGCTGTTTATTAATTTAACTAAATCTTTAATTATAAACCTAAACACCTTGTAACAGATTTGCCAATACCTTAATCCTCTATCAGCAAGTACGGTTCCATTGACAGGAGATTGGCTCGAAGGCAGCTTTGGGTTTGTTATTTGACAGATAGGAAACTGAATAATAAGAAGGCAAGAAAATTGATAGTATGTGAAAGAGAAGACAGGAAAAAGAAATACATTTATGAGAAAATGTATAATCTTGAATTTTCTTTGGTTTCCATTAAACTGCCGGTGCCTCAGAAGATTGTCAGTTTAACGTTCTATCAGTAGTACCATAATTTATTCTTTTGTTATACCATGAGGATTGAAGACGAAAAGGCCCATGCTAGCAGGAGGCACAAGAAGAGATTATATATGCAAATAATTCTGTAGCTCTTGTACCAGGAGAGGGTTTGTCTTGTAATATTTCTTTGAAGACACACATAGAAATCTTTGATTGGTCTACAAAAAGCAAAATTGTGAGGCTAAAAAGAAGAGGGAGAAAGAGAAAGAATATTTGAAAAGAGTATGCAAAGCTATGATAAAAAGTCGGAAGATGGATGACAACTGCAGCATCTTTTTTTTTTTTTTTGAGAGCTAAGAATAGTGGGGATGAGGGGGTGGGTAAGGCATGCAAAGCAATTTGGAGAAGCAAGGGTAAGTGTGTTCAAGCCTGGGGAATTGAGGACATCTGGTCATATCCAGACAAAATGTTTAATCTGTGTAACTGGCAGTGGGCAGGGGTAACCCAGCTAGCCTGCCTTCCAAGTCAGGTCGGCTGCTCCTCGACTCTGCTTCTCAGGAGTGGTGGGCTGTGTTCCATGGATCTGAGGTGCCATGTGCTGCTTTCTGCCCCCAGGAAAGAAGCAGACACCGAGGGAGAATTTTAAAGACTTCAAAGAGCCCGAGTGGACTACCACATCCCTGTAGCTGGCAGTCCTATAGCTGGCGGTCCTACTTGTCCAGTAAGGTTAGGGAGGAATGGAGAGGCGGAGGAGTTGGAATATGTGGGTAGGGGTGGGGTTGGGAATGAGTGAAGTGGAAGAGGGCTGGCTAAATGAGCTCTCCTCTTCCAGCACACATTCAGTAAACTTTCTCCCTTCCTCTGTATTTCAGCTTCCAAACATTGGCTCCTCTCTGAAAAGGTCACCCTGCTTTTCAGACAGAATTTGTGACTCTCGGCAGCTGGGAATACTTTGGAACTGAAGAGAACCTATTAGGAGAGAGAAAAAACAGAGTCATGATTAAGCAAAAAAAAAATGGAGAAAAGATTCACCTCTAAATTTTATTTAATGACAACAAAAACACACAACATTTCTCTTTGATTCATAACGTTAATAAATTCTACTTATCGTTTGCAATAATTCCAAGGTGTTCTAAAGACATCTTTATATTAGAAAAGAGTTCCATATTAGTTTGAATTACTTCAGGAAAGAAATGCCCTATTCCACCACTACAAGTTATGGGGAAATCTATAGCAGAACATTTTGTACTCTCACTAATGAAGAAAGAACCCAGTAAGGATTGCTGTATTTTGGAGATTAGGGAATTGTGTTCACACTCACAATAAAATGTTAAGCTACTACGTCAGAGAAGGCTTGGTTCATTTATTTTGACACCAGTATTTGAAATAATTTAGTTTCCTTGGTAAATGATCTGTAGACTCTTCCAAGTGTTGTTAGCTAAAATATTATTAATGTGAATTCATTCAACACACTTCATAATTTTGCTGAGAAATGAGACGTGAAAACTGCATGTTATGGTCCCAAGAGGTGAAGGAGGGGAGCAGAGAGAGAAGCAAGGATGAACAGTGTGAGTGAATTTATGGGAGTTTAGAATGAGAGACTGGGAGGCACCAGCAATAGAAAAACGAGATCATGAAATTTGAATTTTGCTATTGTAGGAGTGGAAAGATGTGATACCTTTCCTCGCTCATCATAAAGGTCACAGCCGACACTTAATACTCCTAACAAAAAGGCAGGTTAACAAAAGAAAAGCATAACATATTTTTAAAATCAAAGTTTTACATGACACAAGAGTCTTCAGAAGTGAAGACCCAAAGACCAAGGGAAAACTGCTTAGGTTCTATAAAGAATGAACAGCTGTACAGATAGGTAACTGGACAAAGGGGTATAACCCAATGGTAACAGATGAAGGTGGAAAGCTCAGCAAGGCCTGTCCAGCTTCATCTTGGCCTCACTGTGTAGTGAAACTTCCTCCCTGCCAACGGGGCAGGACCCCTTCTGAAATGAGGATCTTCAAGGAAGAAGGAGAAGAGAGACAGTAACCTTTCTAGGTGTTATGGCTTGCTTTGAGGGAGAAGGGTTCTAGTTTTTATGACTTACCTTGAAGAAGAAGAATTCTGGTTTCTATGACTCACTTCAGGGGAGAGACAAGGACAAGAGAAAGGAGGGTAGGAGACAGTCAGAGAGAGGCTTTTCTTCTGAGGCTACTTCTGAAGCCTTGCAATCTCCTTTAGTTTTATGTACTCAGCATGCCAAAGCACCATACTTTGGGGTATTGTGTTCTGAGCCCCAACACTATCAATTATCATTCAGTTTCAGCTTGAAAAATGAACTCTGTGGTGAATAAGCACACTGGAGTAGTCCCTGAAGTGTCTACATTCTGCTCAACTAAACTGTTAGCACTGTGAAGAAGGCTTTTGGAAAACAAAATTTTGATATATTGACTCTAATTAAAAAAATATATAGCCACAGTCCAACTAACTCCAAATGAGCACATTATTGCAGAGTCCCTGGGAAATATTTTGTGGAAGTAAAATTTTGAGGGAGAGGCCTGGTGCGGTAGCTCACGCCTGTAATCCTAGCACTTTGGGAGGCTGAGGCAGGTGGATCGTGAGGTCAGGCATTCGAGACCAGCCTGGCCAACATAGTGAAGCCCTGTCTCTACTAAAAATACAAAAAATTAGCTGGGTGTGGGTGTGGGCACCTGTAATCCCAGCTACTTGGGAGGTTGAGGCAGGAGAATCACTTGAATCTGGGAGGTGGAGGTTGTAGTGAGCCGAGATTGCGCCACTGCACTCCAGCCTGGGCGACAGTGCAAGACTCCGTCTCAAAAAAAAAAAAAAAAAAAAAAAAAAAAATTCAGGGAGAAAAAGTCAAGAAAGCTTGGAATGAGTCACTCTATCCCACAATTTCAACAATTCTCTCCAGAGCCCGAGGTGCCAGGTGTGTTTTTGGCTTTGCTTCTGTGCAGGAGCTCTTGCTTCTCCATCTGAGCACCTTCTTTCTCATCCTTTCTGTAATTCTCCTTTGTTCACCTACATTGTTATTCCATGAAGTCATCCCTGGATCCTCTAAGGCACCCCTGCTTCCAGGCCAGAATAATAACATCCTCTGACTCCCACTGTCCTTTATCTGAATTGCTTTCAGTTTGTTCTATAACTTACTTTATAATAATTTGTATATATAGCTTAATCTTCATTGAAATATAAGCTCCTCGCAGGCAGTGACTTTGTCAGAATTATCTTTTCAGGTAACAGACACCCAAATATATTTAAATCACTTAATCTTCATACAGCTCTAGGAGTAATGTTCCACGTGAACTGTGGGCACATTACTAGGATTTTCCCCATCACCCAATGTAATCTAGTTCACATGTGCTAAAAGCATTCACTTGATGAATGTTTCCAATGTCTTTATCCATCAGTATTTTATTAAATTTAAGCTGGGAATCATTTCTAACATGATTATACTCTTGCCCCCATGCCAGGCTGCATTAGGAGAGCCTGCTCTGTGATGACCTGAGCTGTGATGACCAATTGTCCCAGTTTGTGCAGAACTAAGGAGTTTTCCAGGATGTGGGATTTTCAGTGCTAAATTGGAGACAGTACCAGGTAAACTGGGTTGGTTGGTCACCCTAACACTGCTCCCCAGCCCCCTGAATATTCTAATATTCTTCTGTTAGAGCTCTCATAAATGCAGAGTAATCTTTGATTTTCTTGTTTGTGTCTCTCACTAGACTAAATTTCTTATCTCTCTGTATCTCTAGCATCTAGCACAGTGCCTAGTACTTAACTGGTACTCTATAAATGGTTGTGGAGTGGATAAAGAATGAAAGAATATATGCATGAAGAAGAAGTAGAAAGGCTGCAGTGAGCCATAACTGGGCCAGTACACTCCACACTCCAGCCTGGGTGACAAGATGAGGCCCTGTCTCAAAAAAAAAAAAAAGAGAAAAAAGCAACAACAATTTTTCCTCTTTATTTCCCCACAAGGACAAGAAATGTATCCTTTCTGTGTCTCAATCCTATTGTAGAGGGTTTTCAGAAAAATAGGGCAATGTGAAGAAAGCAGAGTTTCAAACTAAAGCCCAGAGGTTCATGGAAAACCTTGGCATCCTCTTCATAAGGAAGAGGCCCAAGAGACATACCATGAGCAGCCTGCTCCCTCCTCTCTTGTGCAGCTCAAATGTTTTCTCTTTTAAGAAGTCTTCTTTCACCCTCCTCCCACTCTGGACAGAGTCAGTTGCTGCCCACTCTGGGCTTCTATAGCATCTGTCTTCTCTGCTACTCTGAGGGCATCGTGAACCATCTGTACCTTATTCATTTTTGGATCACCAGAAGCTGGCATTATATCTGGTCTATAGTAGGTGCTTGTTAAATGAATAAAAGAAAATGTTGAAAGCACAGGGAAATTTATTCACAAGTGTTCCATAAGACAGAGGTAGAAATGAGAGGAGCTTCACTGAACTGAGTTGGGGAAAAAATAAAACGAGAGGCCAGGCACCTGTGACTCACATCTGTAATCCCAGCACTCTGGGAGGCAGAGGCCAGTGGATTGCTTGAACTCAGGAATTCGAGACCAGCCTGGGCAACATTGTGAAATCCCTTCTCTACCAAAAATACTAAAAATGAGCCAAGCATGGTGGCACGTGCACCTGTGGCCTCAGCTACTGGGGAGGTGAGGTAGGAGAATCTCTTGATCCCGGGACATGGAAGTTGCAGTGGGCCGAGATCAGCCACTGCACTCCAGCCTGAATGGATGGAGTGAAACCCTGTCTCAAAAAAACAAAACAAAACAAAAAAGAAAGATAAGAAATGAAAGGGGCTAAATTTAAGAAGATATTCATCACAGCAACTTAGATTGAGTAAGTGGTTTGCATTCTTTATTTCATTTAATTCTAACAACAAACCTCTAAACGTTTAGGTTTTCCCTATTTTATAAAGGAGAACATTAAAGGTCAGAGAGCTTCAATAATTGTCACAGGTCACATATTCATAAGTGGCACAGACCAAGCTAGTTTCATATTCCATTTCATTTGATTTGGTTTAAGGAGTTTTGGAAAGCTGCTCCAAGCATACATTAGAGATAGAGAAGGGATGGGCAGGAAATACTGAGGAGAATATTACTAACATTATTTTAAAAGAGGGGTGGAACGACCCACTCCCAAAATGCCCTTTGGAATATAATAAGAACACATGACTTCCTCAAAGCTCTCACTTCCTCAAGTACTATAGATTTTGAGATTTGGAGGAGGACAAGTTAATGTGCAGGGCTTGTAATTTTATATTTATGAGTAAGATGTGACTGAATATGATTATGTGATCTTTAGGGGAAAAAAAATCCAGTCTTACATCCCATCTGAAACTCAAAACCCTAGAGGAATTCCACTTATGAAAAGGAGAATCCTTAAAAGAAAGGAAAGTTTGAAAAGGATCCTAGGGCTGAAAGTCATAAATTTTAACAGAAAGTGTGTGTGTGTGTGTGTGTGTATGTGTGTGTGTGTAGGCAGGGAGGTGTTCAAGATTAGATTTAGTTATATTATATTAGATGTGCAAAAAAAAAAAAAAACTTCAAAACCTTCTTTACTTCCTATACCTGCAGTGGTGTTAGAGGAAAGTAACGAAACAAAAGAGACTTATATTTTAAAATTTTGCTAAAATACATGTAACACCTTAACCATCTTTAAGTGTATACAGTTCAATGATAGAACAACAAAGACTTTAACTTGCCAATTAAAGTAACTTCTGGATGAAACAATTGTGTTCTGATAAATATTTCATCAATTCCAGGGTCATCACTTGTATTAGTCCATTTTCACACTGCTGTGAAGATACTACCTGAGACTGGGCAATTTATGAACAAAAGAGGTTTAATTGACTCACAGTTCCATATGGCTGGGGAGGCCTTAGGAAACTCACAATCATGGCAGAAGGTGAAGGAGAAGCAAAACCTTCTTCACAAGGTGGCAGGAGAGAGAGAGGGAGAATGAGTGCAGTGGAAACTGCCACTTTGAAACCATTAGATCTTGTGAGGACTCCTTCACTATCAGGAGAACAAAATGGGGAAACCGCCCCCATGATTCAATTGCCTCCCACCAGGTCCCTCCCTCCACACTTGGGGATTACAATTCGAGATGGGATTTGGGTGGGGACACAGAGCCAAACCATATAAGCTCCATACTAGGGATGTTCCTCCCCTCTTTGTTTATCTACTCAAGATAGCATTTGTAGGGGAAAGTTCTCTCAGCAGTGCAGGCACTGAGCATTCATAAATGACTTTCTATTGGTCTTTGTGACCTGGTGGATAGTCAGAAGGGGTCTCTAGACTAGTATCCACTGAAGTGTAACTGGAAAGTCCATTTTGCCTCTCTGGCTGTTTCTACCAGCATCCTTCCTCAATGCTCCACCCTAAGACTTGCACATCCAACTTCTGACCATATTTTTCTGGAAGGGGAGAGACTTTGTTTTCTTTCTCTCTGGAAAATACTTCCTTGATATCATATCCTTCTTTTTCCTGGTAGCACTAAGCACAATGACTCAGCCTTAATTGTGGATGAGCTATCTTCTCCACATGTTGAAAGAAACTGATTTGCACTTGCCAGGTATGGCTCTTGATAAGGGAGCATTGTCATAACTTAAAAAGAGGAATTACTGTGGACCAAACAAAATATTGCTCTTATCACATATATAAATAAAACTTTGAAATTGACAACCTTAGATCAATGAATGTAAAACATCCTTACTAGATTTTATCTAAATTCAATCTTTTTGTTTTTATATTATTATACTTTAAGTTCTGGGACACATGTGCAGAATGTGCCATTTTGTTACATAGTTATACAAGTGCCATAGTGGTTGGCTGCACCCATCAACACATCACCTACTGTCCTTCCAGTAGCCCCCTACCCCCAAACAGGCCCCGGTGTGTAATGTTCCCCTTCCTGTGTCCATGTGTTCTCATTGTTCAACTCCCATTTATGAGTGAGAACATGTGGTGTTTGGTTTTCTGTTCTTGTGTTAGTTTGCTGAGAATGATGGTTTCCAGCTTCATCCATGTCCCTGCAAAGGACATGAACTCATCATTTCTTATGGCTGCATAGTATTCCATGGTGTATATGTGCCACATTTTCTTTATCCAGCCTATCATTGATGGACATTTGGGTTGGTTCCAAGTCTTTGCTATTGTGAATAGTGCTGCAATAAGCATACGTGTGCATGTGTCTTTATAGTAGAATGATTTATAATGCTTTGGGTATATACCCAGTAATGGGATTGGTGGGTCAAATGGTATTTCTAGTTCTAGATCCTTGAGGAATCGCCACACTGTCTTCAACAATGGTTGAACTAATTTACACTCCCATGAACAGTGTAAAAGCGTTCCTATTTCTCCACAGCCTCTCCAGCATCTGTTGTTTCCTGGCTTTTTTTTTTTTTTTTTGAGATGGAGTCTCGCTCTGTCACCTAGGCTGGAGTGCAGTGGCATGATCTCGGCTCACTGCAAGCTCTACCTCCCAGGTTCATGCCATTCTTCTGCCTCAGCCTCCCAAGTAGCTGGGACTACAGGCACGCCCGCCACCACACCAGGCTAATTTTTGTATTTTTAGTAGAGACGTGGTTTCACCGTGTTAGCCAGGATGGTCCTGGTCTCTTGACCTGGTGATCCGCCCACCTTGGGCTCCCAAAGTGCTGGGATTACAGGCGTGAGCCACTGTGCCCAGCCTGTTTCCTGGCTTTTTAATGGTTGCCATTCTAACTGGTGTGAGATGGTATCTCATTGTGGTTTTGATTTGCATTTCTCTAATGACCAGTGATAATGAGCATTTTTTCATGTGTTTATTGGCCACATAAATGTCTTCTTTTGAGAAGTGTCTGTTCATATCCTTTGCACACTTTTTAATGGGGTTGTTTGTTTTTTTCTTGTAAATTTGTTTAAGTTCCTTGTAAATTCTGGATATTAGCCCTTTGTCAGATAGATAGATGGCAAAAATTTCCTCCCATTCTGTAGGTTGCCTGTTCACTCTGATGATAGTTTCTTTTGTGGTGCAGAAGCTCTTTAGTATAATTAGATCCCATTTGTCAATTTTGGCTTTTGTTGCCATTGCTTTTGGTGTTTTAGACATGAAGTCTTTGCCCATGCCTATGTCCTGAATGGTATTGCCTAGGTTTTCTTCTAGGATTCTTACGGTTTTAGGTCTTACATTTAAGTCTTTAATCCATCTTGAGTTAATTTTTGAATAAGTTGTAAGGAAAGGGTCCAGTTTCAGTTTTCTGCATATGGCTAGCCACTTTTCCAATCACCTTTTATTAAATAGGGAATCCTTTCCCCATTCCTTGTTTTTGTCAGGTTTGTCAAAGATCAGATGGTTGCAGATGTGTGATGTTATTTCTGAGGCCTTTGTTCTGTTCCATTGGTTTGTATATCTGTTTTGGTACCAGTACCATGTTGTTTTGATTACTGTAGCCTTGTAGTATAGTTTGAAGTCAGGTAGCGTGATGCCTCCAGCTTTGCTCTTTTTGCTTAGGATTGTCTTGGCTATGCAGGCTCTTTTGTGGTTCCACGTGAAGTTTAAAGTAGTTTTTTTTCCAGTTGTGTGAAGAAAGTCAGTGGTAGCTTGACGGGGATAACATTGAATCTATAAATTACTTTGGGCAGTATGGCCATTTTCATGATATTGATTCTTCCTATCCATGAGCATGGAACGTTTTGCCATTTGTTTGTGTCCTCTCTTATTTCCTTGAGCAGTGGTTTATAGTTCTCCTTGAAGAGGTCCTTCACATCCCTTGTAAGTTGGATTCCTAGGTATTTTATTCTCTTAGTAGCAATTGTGAATGGGAGTTCACTCATGATCTGGCTCTCTATTATTGGTGTATAGGAATGCCTGTGATTTTTGCACATTGATTTTGTATCCTGAGACTTTGCTGAAGTTGCTTATCAGCTTAAGGAGATTTAGGGATGAGACAATGGGGTTTTCTAAATATATAATCATGTCATCCGCAAACAGAGACGATTTGACTTCCTCTTTTCCTATTTGAATACCCTTTATTTCTTTCTCTTGCCTGATTGCCCTGGCCAGAACTTCCAATACTATGTTGAATAGGAGTGGTGAGAGAGAGCATCCTTGTCTTGTGCCAGTTTTCAAAGGGAATGCTTCCAGTTTTAGTCCATTCAGTATAACATTGGCTGTGGGTTTGTCATAAATAGCTCTTATTATTTTGAGATAAGACCCGTCAGTACCTAGTTTATTGAGAGTTTTTAGCATGAAGCGGTGCTGAATTTTTTTGAAGGCCTTTTCTTCATCTATTGAGATAATCATGTGGTTATTGTCATTGGTTCTGTTTATGTGATGGATTAAGTTTATTGATTTGCGTATGTTGAACCAGCTTTGCATCCCAGGGATGAAGCTGATTTGATCGTGGCGGAGAAGCTTTTTGATGTGCTGCTGGATTTGGTTCGCCAGTATTTTATTGAGGATTTTTGCATCAATGTTCATCAGGGATATTGGCATGAAATTTTCTTTTTTTGTTGTGTCTCTGCCAGGTTTTGGTATCAGGATGATGCTGGCCTCATAAAATGAGTTAGGGAGGATTCCCTCTTTTTCTATTGATTGGAATAGTTTCAGAAGGAATGATGCAAGCTCCCCTTTGTACCTCTGGTAGAATTTGGCTGTGAATCTCTCTAGTCCTGGACTTTTTTTGGTTGTAGACTATTAATTACCACAATTTCAGATCTTGTTATTGGTCTATTCAGGGATTCAACTTCTTCCTGGTTTAGTCTTGGGAGGGTGTATGTGTCCACGAATGTATCCATTTCTTCTAGATTTTCTAGTTTATTTGCATAGAGGTGTTTATCGTATTCTCTGATCGTAGTTTGTATTTCTGTGGGATCAGTGGTGATCTCTTCTTTATCACTTTTTCTTGCATCTGTTTGATTCTTCTCTCTTTTCTTCTTTATTAGTCTTGCTAGCAGTCTATCAATTTTGTTGACGTTTCAAAAAGCCACCTCCTGGATTCATTGATTTTTTGAGGGTTTTTTGTGTCTCTATCTCCTTCAGTTCTGCTCTGATCTTAGTTATTTCTTGTCTTCTGCTAACTTTTGAATTTGTTTGCTCTTCCTTCTCTAGTTCTTTTAATTTTGTGGTTAGGATCTCAATTTTAGATCTTTTCTGCTTTGTCTTGTGGGCATTTAGTGCTATAAATTTCTCTCTACACACTGCTTTAAATGTGTCCCAGAGATCCTGGTATGTTGTGCTTTTGTTCTCATTGGTTTCAAGGAACATCTTTATTTCTGCCTTAATTTCATTATTTACCACGTAGTCATTCAGGAGCAGGTTGTTCAGTTTTCATGTAATTGTGTGGTTTTGAGTGAGTTTCTTAATCATGAGTTCTAATTTCATTGCACTGTGGTCTGAGAGACTGTTATGATTTCCGTTCTTTTGCATTTGCTGAGGAGTGTTTTACTTCCAATTTTACTTTCAATTTTAGAATAAGTGCAATGAGGTGCTGAGAAGAACACATATTCTGTTGATTTGGGGTGGAGAGTTCTGTAGATGTCTTTTAGGTCTGCTTGATCCAGAGCTGAGTTCAAGTCCTGCATATCTTTGTTAATTTTCTGTCTTGTTGATCTGTCTAATGCTGACAGTGGGGTGTTAAAGTCTCCCAATATTATTGTGTGGGAGTCTAAGTCTCTTTGTAGCTCTCTAAGGACTTGCTTTATAAATCTGGGTGCTCCTGTAATGGGTGCATATATATTTAGGATAGTTAGCTCTTCTTGATGCATCGATCCCTTACCATTATGTAATGGCCTTCTTTGTCTGTTTTGATCTTTGTTGGTTTAAAATCTATTTTATCAGAGATTAGGATTGCAACTCCTGCTTTATTTTGCTTTCCATTGCTTGGTAAATATTCCTCCATCCCTTTGTTTTGAGTCTATGTGTGTCTTTGCATAAGAGACAGGTCTCCTGAATTTAGCACACTAATGGGTCTTGACTCTTAATCCAATTTGCCAGTCTGTGTCTTTTAATTGGGGCATTTAGCCCGTTTACATTTAAGGTTAATATTGTTATGTGTGAATTTGATCCTGTGATTATGTTGCTAGCTGGTTATTTTGCCCATTAGTTGATGTAGTTTCTTCATGGTGTCGATGGTCTTTACAATTTGGTATGTTTTTACAGTGGCTGGTACCAGTCGTTCCTTTCCATGTTTAGTGCTCCCTTCAGGAGCTCCTGTAAGGCAGGTGGTGGTGACAATATCTCTCAGTATTTGCTTGTCTGTAGAGGATTTTATTTCTCCTTCACTTATGAAGCTCAGTCTGGGTTGAAAATTCTTTTCTTTAAGAATGTTGAATATTGGCCCCATTCTCTTCTGGCTTATAGGGTTTCTGCAGAGTGGTCTGCTCTTAGTCTGATGGGCTTCCGTTTGTGGGTAACCCGACCTTCCTCTCTGGCTGCCCTTAACATTTTTTCCTTCATTTCAACCTTGGTGAATCTGAGGATTATTTGTCTTGGGGTTGCTTTTCTCGAGGAGTATCTTTGTGGTGTTCTCTGTATTTCCTGAATTTGAATGTTGGCCTGTCTTGCTAGGTTGGGAAAGTTCTCCTGGATAATCACCTGAAGAGTGATTTCCAACTTAGTTCCATTCTCCCCGTCACTTTCAAGTACACCAGTCAAACGTAGATTTCGTCTTTTCACATAGTCCCATATTTCTTGGAGGCTTTGTTCGTTCCCTTTTTATTTTTTTTTCTCTAATCTTGTCTTCTTTTTTTATTTTTATTTCATTAAGTTGATCTTCAATCTCTGACATCCTTTATTCTGCTTGATCAATTCAGCTATTGATACTTGTGTATGCTTCACGAAGTTCTTGTGCTGTGTTTTTCAGCACCATCAGGTCATTTATGTTCTTCTTTAAACTGGTTATTTTAGTTAGCAATTTGTCTAACCTTTTTTCAAGTTTCTTAGCTTCCTTGCATTGGGTTAGAACATTATCCTTTAGCTGGGAGGACTTTGTTATTATCCACATTCTGAAGCCTACTTCTGTCAATTTGTCAAACCATTCTCCATCCAGTTTTATTCCCTTGCTGGCGAGGAACTGTCATCCTTTGGAGGAGAAGAGGGGTTGTGATTTTTGGAATGTTCAGCTTTTTTGTGCTGGTTTCTCCCCATCTTTGTGGTTTTATCTACCTTTAGTCTTTGATGTTCGTGACCTTCGGATGGGGTCTCTAAGTGGATGTGCTATTTTTTTCTGTTTGTTAGTTTTCCTTCTAACAATCAAGCCCGTCTGCTGCAGGTCTGCTGGAGTTTGCTGGAGGTCTACTCCAGACCCTGTTTGCCTGGGTATCACCAGCAGAGGCTGCAGAACAGCAAAGATTGCTGCCCGTTCTTTCCTCTGGAAGCTTCGTCCCAGAGGGGCACCCGTCAGATGCCAGCCAGAGCTCTCCTGTATGAGGTGTCTGTTGGCCCTTACTGGGAGGTGTCTCCCAGTCAGGATACATGGGGGTCAGGGACCCACATGAGGAGGCAGTCTGACCCTTAGCAGAGCTTGACCACTGTGCTGGGAGGTCCACTGCGGTCTTCAGAGCTGTCAGGCAGGGACGTTTAAGTCTGCTGAAGCTGCACCCACAACAGCCCCTTTCCGGAGACGCTCTGTCCCAGCGAGATGGGGGTTCCATATCTAAGTCCCTGACTTGGTCTGCTGCCTTTTTTTCAGAGATGCCCTGCCCAGAGAGGAGAAATCTGGCAGTCTGTCCACAGCAGCCTTGCTGAGCTCCAGTGGGCTCTGCTCAGTTTGAAGTTCCCAGAGGCTTTGCTTACACTGTGAGGATAAAACCGCTTACTCAAGCCTCAGCAGTGGCAGATGCCCCTCCCCCCACCAAGCTGGAGCATCCCAGGTCTATCTCAGACTGCTGCTGTGTTGTCAGCGAGAATTTCAAGCCAGTGGGTCTTATCTTGCTGGGCTCCATGGATGTGGGACCAGCTGAGCCAGGCACGGGAGGGTATCGCCTGTTCTGCCGATTGTGAAGGCCCTGGGAAAAGTGCAGTATCTGGGCCAGAGGTCACCATTCCTCCGGGTACAGTTTCTCATGGCTTCCCTTGGCTAGGGAAATGAAATCCCTGACCCCTTGTGCTTCCCGGGTGAGGTGATGCCCCACCCTGGTTCGGCTCACCCTCGGTGGGCTGGCTGTACCCACTGTCCAACCAGTTCCAATGAGATGAACTGGGTATCTCAGTTGGAAATGCAGAAATCACCTGCTTTCTGCGTCGATTTCACTGGGAGCTGCATACCGGAGCTGTTCCTATTTGGCCATTTTGGCCAACCCCTAAATTCAATCTTAAAAGAAAAAAGAGTAGGAACCCATTCTGTTTTTCAGAAAATGAACGGAAGAAAAACAATTCATTTATGTAAATATTTAATGAGTCTCCTCCATGTGCTTGCTATGCAGCTTGTTGGCTATATGTCCAAGAATTGGATTTAGGAAATGGGGGAAAACCCAAAAGTGGATAATGACTCCACCAACACACACACACAATTTGACTTTAAATAATATGTGATGCTACTACTTTTGACTTTGTTTTAATCAGAGAAGCAATGGAAGGCTATAAGTAAGCCTGTAGGTTTTGATTCAGAGCCATAGATTACATGTTCTTTGCTTCTGTAAGAAAAACTTTTGAAAGGCAAGGGAAACATTTTACCTCGCTAGTCTATAGAATAATTATGGAAGTTTTGTTCATTTCAAAAAGAATATTCAATTATATTTTGAGTCTTTGCCTTTAGAAATTTCCATGAGAGTTTTTGTTGACAATGAATTCATTATGTTCTAAGGTTTTAAAAAATTATTAGCCTTCTATATTTGATAATTACATACTGATATATACTGTATTAAGTATATTAAGAATAAAAGATTTCTTAATGTTTAATATCCACTTTTGACATTTTTGTCTTTTCTGGAATGAAATCATGTGAACTAAAGATAGCTATCAATTTAATTAAAACTGCACAATGACTGAGTTTTTAATATTGAGATTGATTGGACATTGATATCTCAGGCATAGCTGTTTAATTTTCATTCATACCAGGACAAGAAAAATTTTTATAAACAACATTTATATTTCTGGTTTTCCAGAAGTCTTTTAATATGGAAAAGGAAAAAGATCAAAATGTGATAGAAAGAACATAAGTTCTAACAGGAAGAATTCATCTGAAAAGAACTGAAAATACAAAGACATAGCTAATCCCAGCTGCACCAAACCAAATTGAATGAAACAAATGTTAACTCTAACATTGTCTTAACCTTATGCATTTTCTCCTGGTTTGCTCTGATTTATTCTGCTGCTGGTATGGTTACTATTTCATTTTTCTTTAACTTGTGTGTTTTATCCTTATTCAAGTAGAGTACCAATCAGGTAAGGAATTGGGCAGTGCAACTTTCTAAGTACTAGATGAATTTTTATGGTAGTTGCCTGTCAATTTCAAATTAATTTGTATCAAAGAGCTTTAGTTTTCCTCTACTTCCTTACATTCTCTGCCTGACCTTAGTCACTTTACAATAGACCACAGAAAAGGGGGCAAAGTCCCTCATCCTTTTCAAATCTATTTTAGGCTCATGGATCAACATATACTGAACACAAACTTTGAGAAATTACAGAGACCTTTACCTTCTTTTATATTTTTCTAAATATTGATCTTTATTTCCTTTAGTCAAGGAAGGTGTGGAATGGGCAGAAGGCAGCAAGATAAATGGTCATATGGAGTTGGGATAAAATAAAAAATAAACCCCCTGGGTGTTGTAACATGAATGGAGTGTGCATATTACAGGTAAGCGTAAATAGTGTTGGCATCTAGAATTGAGATCTTTTGGGACCTAAGATTGTGTTGTACATGCCCTAGTAAAATTGTAAAAGAAGAAATTTTAGGCAATGATAATAGCTAAGCTAAGATTCATTGAGTATTTCCATGTATCAGGCACTTTCTAACAAGTTTTACTGAATCTTCACAATCCCATCCTGAGGGAAGTACTATCATTATTCTTGTTTTACAGGTCTAAAAAAATGAGGCACAGCATGGTAAATTGTTAAAAATCACAAAACTAGTGAGGATGGTGTGGTACTTATATTCACTGCACTAATACCCCATTATACCTATAATCCACATATACCTATATATGCAGATGTGTACACACACATGTGCATCCACACACCACACATATATATGTAAGAATATTCTCAAATAATAAAACTAAATCTGATGGAGGAAATGTACTCTTGAAGGAAGTGCCTTGTTAGAAAGTGGGACAGGAAGGAAGTGGGTTTTTGTCCCTACAATCATTGAATGGCTTCTCTTTCAACAAAAAATATAGTTATCCCTTGGTATGCACAGGCAGTCGGTTCCAGGACCCTTTTGGAGACCAACATCTAAGGATGCTCAAGTCTCTTATAGGAAATGGCATAGTATTTGCATATTGCCTGTGTACATCTTCCCATATGCTTCATTATCTCTACGTTATTTATATGATAATATCTAATACAATGTAAATCTTATGAAAATGGCTGTTATTCAGTATTGTTTTTATTGTTGTGTTATTATTGTTTTATTTTTATTTATTTTTTTGAGATGGAGTCTCACACTGTCACCTGGGCTGGAGTGCAGTGGCGCGATCTTAGCTCACTGCAACCTCCGCCTCCCAGGTTCAAGCCATTCTCCTTGCCTCAGTCTCCCAAGTAGCTGGTATTACAGGTGCCCGCCACCATGCCCGGCTAATTTTTTTGTATTTTTAGTAGAGACAGAGTTTCACTATGTTGGTCAGGCTGGTCTCAAACTCCTGATTTCATGATCAGCTTGCCTCGGCCTCCCAAAGTGCTGGGATTACAGGTGTGAGCCACCGCACCTGGCCTATTTTATTTATTTATTTATTTATACTTATTTTTTTTGAGACGGAGTCTCGCTCTGTTGCTCAGGCTGGGGTGCAAAGGCACGATCTTGGCTCAGTCAACCACTGCCTCCCAGATTCAAGTGATTCTCCTGCCTCAGCCTCCAGAGTAGCTGGGGTTACAGGCACCTGCCACCATATCCAGCTAATTTTTGTATTTTTGTAGAGATGGGGTTTCACCATGTTGGCCAGGCTGGTCTTGAACTCCTGACCTCAGGTGATTTGGTCACCTTGGCCTCCCAAAGTGTTGGGATTTCAGGTGTGAGCCACCGCACCCAGCCCATATTGTCATTATTTATGTATTTATTTGTTTTTATATGTTTTCTGTCTCCAGTTGATTGAATCCAGGGATATGGAACCCACAGATAAGAACTGATTATATTAGGCCAGTGAAGTAAAATGGCTGCCTGAAAGGTAAGAAAACAAATGAGGATTCAATGAAAACAGCAAAGACAGAAATCTCCCCAGGAAAGCTGAGAACAGAGATTGGTTGTTGGTCAATTCATTTGTGCCCCATTGATATTCAACATTGACTGGATTGTATAACTTTCTTTCTTCACTAACATCAGGTTATTATTATTGGCGCTAGGTTTTTTCTTCCCATTTGTGCATGGTTTAACACATCTCCCAAAATGAGACTGTCATGCAGGGATATATTGTAAAAAAGCATTGGAAGAATGAGAAAAGTGGTAGTAGTAAGTCCACTGGATGATAGAGTAGAGAGGAAACATTATTCTGCCCAAGATAAGAAAATTATAATAGAAATAAGATGGTGATCATTAGCAAAGAATTTAAGTTCTCTCCTCCTACAAACAGCAGAGAGTTCTCATGACTCTCCAGGTTTTTCTTTGTTCAATGGCTTCCCAGAAGGTGATAAGTGAATAATAGATAACACTCAGTGAAGTTAAGCAAGGGCTTCTAGAGAGTAGAGAAGATGATTCCATAGGCTAAGAGCTAAAGGGAAAGTCTTGGTTACTTTCAAAATTCATTACATGAAGGAGAGTTCCAAAAAGTCCTAGAAACTTGAATATAAAAGTGATTGCAACATTTATGTGGCCAACAAATATACAAAAAAAAGCTCAACATCACTGATCATTAGAGAAATGCAAATCAACACCACAATGAGATACCATCTCATGCCAGTCAGAATGGCAATTATTAAAAAGTCAAGAAACAATAGATGCTGGAGGGGCTGTGGAGAAATAGGAACACTTTTACACTGTTGGTGAGAATGTAAATTAGTTCAACTATTGTGGAAGACAGTGTGGCCATTCCTCAAGGATCTAGAACCAGAAATACCATTTTACCCAGCAATCCCATTACTGGGTATATACTTAAAGGAATATAAATCATTCTACTATAAAGACACATGCACACATATGTTTACGGCACCACTGTTTACAATAGCAAAGACATGGAACCAACCAAATGCCCATCAGTGGTAGACTGGATAAAGAAAATGTGGCACATATACACCATGGAATACCATACTATGCAGCCATAAAAAGGATTGAGATCATGTCCTTTGCGGGGACATGGATGAAGCTGGAAACATCATCTTCAGAAAACTAACACAGAAACAGAAAACCAAACACCGCATGTTCTCACTCATAAGTGGAAGTTGAATAATGAGGACACATGGACACAGGGAGGGGAAAAACACACACCAGGGACAGTCAGGGGGTGGGGGGTGAGGGGAAGGAGAGCATTAGGACAAATAGCTAATGCATGAGGGGCTTAAAACCTAGATGATGGGTTGATAGGTGCAGCAAACCACCATGGTACCCGTATATGTATGTAACAAACCTTCACGTTCTGCACTTGTATCCCAGAACTTAAAATAAAATTAAAAAAAAAAAAAAGTGAATGCAAACTAAAGTCTGTCACAGCTTCTCAGCAAGACAATGTGTCAGTGATTCTGATTAAAGTGAATGGACTCTATAGACAGAGGTTGCTCAGGAATCCCTGAGATCTTGATGGAGAGCAATCTCTGTGTTTGATTGTATTTGGTGCAGGATTTTCTGTTAATTAAACCTTTTAATATAAGTCTATAGCAAGAATCCTTGTATTGGATTCAAATATTTCTTGGTTCTGAGGCAGGGGAAGAGCAAGGAGGGGATTACAGCAGTGAATAATATTACATGAAATTAATCACCACTGAGTTTTTTCTTTTTTTTTTTTTTGAGAAAAAGTTTTGCTCTTGTTGCCCAGGCTGAAGTGCAACGGCGTGATCTCGGCTAACTGCAACCTCCACCTCCCGAGTTCAAGCAATTCTCCTGCCTCTGCCTCCTGAGTAGCTGGGATTACAGGTGCCCAGCACCACACCTGGCTAATTTTTTGTATTTTTAGTAGAGACGGTGTTTCACCATGTTGGCCAGGCTGGTCTCAAACTCCTGATGTTGGGTGATCCACCTGCCTCAGCCTCCCAAAGAGCTGGGATTACAGGTGTGAACCACCGTGCCCAGCCTACTCACAGGGTATTTATAAAAGACTGATTACAGGATGATTGCATCACCCATGTTAATGATTTTCCTGTTCTTTATTAATTGTGATTCTAGCTATTGAATCAATGTGATACTTCAGCACAGGGTCTGATAGTCTTCAAAGTTGTTGCTTTTGTGTTAAATGAAGATAAACTATATCAATCTCTCTCCTGAAAATTTTTAACCTAATACAAAGTCATATTATTCAATGACTAACAGATTTTTTTTTTCCTGGTAAACTTTTTTTTTCTTTTATCCCTTTGACAGAATAGCAATGTGGTATGTTATTAGCCTGATAAATAGATATACATTCATACATATGGAGACTACTTTGCAGTTATAAACAAGTAAGTTGGGTTTCAAAAGTTCAAATTTCAATCAGCTGATTGGAACTTAGAATGATTGTATGTATACAAATATTGTTAGAATGTGGTGTTTTAAAAATATGCTCCCATGGGACACTAGTGTCCCACAAGGGGAATTCTTATAGAAAAATATAAGAGAGAGTAATGCTGTTTCTCCAATATTCAGGGTAATGTAATTCATGGATGTCATTTTCTTGGTTTTAACAGTTTTCCCCATGTAGTTTCTCCCAATAATAAAAGACCTTTTGTTGGTGGCTCACGCCTATAATCCCAGCACTTTGGGAGGCCGAGGTGGGCGGATCACGAAGTCAGGAGTTCAAGACCAGCCTGACCAACATGCTGAAACCTCGTCTTTACTAAAAACAAAAAAAATTAGCCGGGCGTGGTGGCATGTGCCTGTAATCCCAGCTACTCAGGAGGCTGAGGCAGGAGAATTGCTTGAACCCGAGAGGCGGAGGTTGCAGTGAGCAGAGATGGAGCCACTGCACTCCAGCCTGGGTGACAGAGGGAGACGCCTTCTCAAAAAAAAAAAAAAAAGACCATTTGTATTAGTCTGTTTTCAAGCTGCTGATATAGACATACCCAAGACAGGGAAGAAAAAGTTTAATTGGACTTACAGTTCCCCATGGCTGGGGAGGCCTCAGAATCATGGTAGGAGGTGAAAGGCACTTATTTGTGGCGGCAGCAAGAGAAAATGAGGAAGAAGCAAAAGTGGAAACCCCTGATGAACCCATTAGATCTCTTGAGACTTATTCATTATTACGAGAATAGCATGGGAAAGACAGACCCCCATGATTCAATCACCTCCCTCTGGGTCCCTCCCACAACACGTTGGAATTCTGAGAGATACAATTCAAGTTGAGATTTGGGTGGGGACACAGCCAACCCATATCACCATTTGAGAGCTTATTGTGAGCTAAATTCTTTACATACATCATTTCATTTGATCTTCACAAGGATCACATTTTATAGATAGAAAAACTCTAATTTTCCACTGGCTACTCAAATACTAGGTGGTAGAGCCAGTGTGATAAATTTAAAACATGTCCATAGGCCAGGTGCGATGGCTCACGCCTGTAACCCCAGCACTTTGGGAGGCTGAGGCGGGCGGGTCATGAGGTCAGGAGATCGAGATCACCCTGGCTAACATGGTGAAACCCCATCTCTACAAAAAATACAAAAAAAAAAAAATTAGCCAGGCGTGGTGGCGGGCGCTTGTAGTCCCAGCCACTCAGGAACCTGAGGCAGGAGAATGGCGTGAACCCAGGAGGCACAGCTTGCAGTGAGCCAAGATCGTGCCACTGCACTCCAGCCTGGGCAACAGAGCGAGACTCTGTCTCAAAAAAAAAAAATGTCCACAAACACTTTCACATTTCTCCTATTGACAGTCTATGTCCCTTTCCCTTAAATGTGGGCTGGCCTTAGGGACTCACTTGTAACCAATAGAATCCATTGGAAATGACACTGTGTGACTTCTGAGGCTAGGTTAGAAAAGATCAACAGCTTTCAACTGGCTCTTTTGTGATGCTTTTCTAGTAGAAACCAACTGGCATGTGAGAAATCTGACCATCCTGAAACCTTCATGCTAGAGAGGCCACATGTAGGTTCTTTGCTTTATAGCCTACTATCAACTATGAGCCATGTAAGTGAGCCATTTAAACGTCCAGCACAATTGAGTCTTCAGATGCCTGCAGCTCCATGTCTGACTTGAACTGTATGAGACACTCCAGGTGAGAACAACCTAGTTGTTTTGTTGTGGTTGCTGTTTTTGAGATGGTGTCTTGCTCTGTTGCCCAGGCTGGATTGCAGTGGCGTGATCTCAGCCCACTGTAACCTCTGCCTCCCAGGTTCAACAGATTCTCATGCCTCAGCCTCCCAAGTAGCTGGAATTACAGATGCACACCACCAGGCCTGGCTAATTTTTTTATTTTTGGTAGAGAAGGGGTTTTGCCATGTTGCCCAGGCTGATCTTGAGCACCTAGACTCAAGTGGTCCACCCGCCTTGGCATCCCAAAGTGTTTGGATTATAGGCATGAGCTGCCATGCCCTGCCCTTGTTGTTGTTTTATATCACTAATTATTGGGGCAATTAATTATGCAGTAATAATAATCAGAACAGCCAGTAATAGAACTTGGGTCTTTGGGACTCTAAATTTCATCTTAAGGTACACATTTTACTGCTTCTTTAAACTTCTGATACTGTTATTATTTTTTTAATAATAAAATCTAGTATGAGACTCAATTTAGTATACAATTATATACTTAGCTATTTAAGTTTAGTATATCCATAGTTCTTTGGGTTGTACAAAATTTTCCCTGAATTCTATTCTCTTGCCTGTTTACAAACTAGGGAATCACTATTTTACAATTAACGGTAAAGTTCTCATTCACTCAGCTAACATTCACTGAGTACCTATGATCTGTTAGGCAGTGTAAAAACTATGCACCCAAGTATGAATAAACATAAGCTTTATCACCTCGTCAATGACAGAAGGCTTAGAGAAAATGGGGAAAGATGCACATACAAACAAATAAGACAACAAAATAAGAAGAGTTCTATAACAAAGGAGAATACAAAGAGATGATGGTTAAGCAAAGTTGAAAAGTTTAATTTTGGCTGGGCGCAGTGGCTCACACCTGTAATCCCAACACTTTGAGAGGCCAAGGTGGGTGGATCACCTGAGGCCAGGAGTTCGAGGCTAGCCTGGCCAACATGGCGAAATCCTGTCTCTACTAAAAGTACAAAAAATTAGCCGGGCGTGGTGGCAGGCACCTGTAATCCCAGCTACTTGGGAGGCTGAGGCAGGAGAATTGTTTGAACCCGCGAGGCCGAGGCTGCAGTGAGCTGAGATCTCACCATTGCACTCTAGCCTGGGCAACAAGAGTGAAACTCTATCTCAAAATAATAATAATAATAAATAAATAAATAAATAAATGAAAGAAAGAAAAGTTTAATTTCTCAGGTAACTGCAGGAAGGAGGAGAGGAGAATGGAGAAGAAAAAAAAAAACTCCCTGGGTTGGTTACCCTATAGTACTAACCTCAAGTTCTTAGTCTAGAACCTTCAAGAAGGAAAAGGGTGGAGGGAAGAATCCAAAGGACAAAAGCTAAGATAGCCCTTCTGGAAAAAACAGCTCTGGAAGGATTTTGGGTTTAAGAGAATCCAGAGGTAGGCATTCAGGTGTTATTCTGCCAAGAGAGTTTCTAAGTTAAAGAATGCCTGAATTCAATCCACCAGATGCTGACTTTGGATAAAGACATTTTCATCTTTTTTCCCCCTATAAAATAATGATAATCAGCAGGGCCCGGTGGCTCATGTCTGTAATCCCAGCACTTTGGGAGGCTGGGGTGGGTGGATCACGAGGTCCAGAGTTCATGACCAGCCTGGCCAAGATGGTGAAACCCCACCTCTACTGAAAAAAAAAAAATACAAAAATTAGCCAGGTGCAGTGGCGGGTGCCTGTAACCCCAGCTACTCGGGAGGCTGAGGCAGGAGAATCGCTTGAACCCGGTGGGTGGAGGTTGCAGTAAGCCAAGATCACACCACTGCACTCCAGCCTGGGCGACAGGGTGAGACTATGTCTCAAATAATAATAATAATAATAATCATCATCATCATCATTCTTATTACTAAACAAATTTGTGTTTTCAGAGTAATGAATGAGGTAATGTCTAGAAAGATCCCTGATTTCCTTGCTAAAAAAAGCAATGCTACAGGGATAGAAGTTATCATTATTCCAGCAGTTTTGGTGTATAGTTTAAGAATGAAGAAAACATCTATCTTTATTCAAGCAGTGTGGCCTACTCAAGGGAGCTATTTTTTAACATATTGTATTTCTTGCTTGATTAGGTAGCAAGCAATGTTTCTCATAATGCTTGTCCCTTGCTCACATCACATCCTTCATTCAGCCACCCAAGAGACAGCCCTGTGTGTTTATTTAGTTAGTGAGTTGGTAATTTTGTACCCACTTTTATTTTCTTACTTTTTTTTTTTGGTTTGCCCAGTCTTCTTTTGTTTTGGAAACTGTGTTTTTGGGAACAGTTAGGGCTGTCAATCTCATGGCGCCATCAGTTCTGCTAAAGGTGAACTTACGACTCAGGTTGGCCAATAAGAGTATTGTATTTCCCTTCAAATACAGTAATTAGTCCAAGGATGGGTATGTGATCCAGGTGGTGCCAGTATTTTTCAAGGATTGATATGGATGATTGTGGAGAGAGGGTAATCTACTCATATGAGTTCCTGAACTACAAAGATTATGTAAGCCTAGTGTTGTCAGGAGTCATTTTCTCCGTGATGTAGACACAGCCAGCCTACAAAACAAAACCAACACCAAACACCCACTATAATTAACAGATGAATACATGTAGACAATGATTCTGAAACTTTCGTTTAAACCCCTAGTTCTATGTTACCAGCCTTTGGACTTTTTAAATGAGCCAATACATTTATTTATTTTTTCTTTCTGGCCTAAGCTAGTTTAAATTAGGATTCTGTCACTTCCAACCAAGAATCCTGGCTAACTAAATTAAAGCTCGTATACGAATTCATAATTTTGGAAACAACTTTCACCATCCATATATCACCTCACTACCCTCCTTCCAAACTCCCTGACATAGTCATTCAATGTATCATGGTTGCTAGGAGCAAAGGCTTGAAAGTCAGACTGAACTGGGTTCTAATATCAGCTCAGCCATGTGCAAGCTGTATGATTCTGAGCAAACCCATGACTTCTTGAAACCTGTTTTCTCTGTAAAATAAGGACATTATACTGTGGATTTTTTTTTTTTTTCTGAGACAGAGTTTCACTCTTGTTGCCCAGGCTGGAGTGCAATGGTGCGATCTTGGCTCACTGCAACCTTCGCCTTCTGGGTTCAAGCAATTCTCCAGCCTCAGCCTCCTGAGTAGCTGGGATTACAGGTGACAGCCAGCATGCCCTGCTAATTTTTGTATTTTTAGTAGAGATGGGGTTTTGCCATGTTGGCCAGGCTAGTCTCAAACTCCTGACCTCAGGTGATCTGCCCACCCCGGCCACCCAACCTGCTGGGATTACAGGCGTGAGCCACTGTGCCAGACCCTACACTGTGCATCTGCTATATTTTTAAGTGATTCGTGTAAAGTTTTCAGCTCAATTCCTAACGGATTTTAGGATCTAATTGAATGTTAGTCATTTTACCACCTCCTCTACAGGCTATCCTGGGCACAAAGAATGTAAAAGAAGGACTTGGCCAACATGTATGTCCAAGGATACTTTTATATTTAATTCCTCAAATTACATCAGAGTTAACTTTACAGAGGACAGGATTCTCCCTTTAGAAATTTCATGACATTCTGTCTTGAACATCTCAGTGTAATCAAGCACATGAAGGTCAGAGCTATATCCTCTGCTCCAAACTGCTCCCAGGAGTTAAGGTGTCACTGACTCATCTGGGGAGTTAAGTTAAATAGAAGCCTCTTTGAGAAATTCTTCCATCATTCCCTTGGCAACTGTAGACCCAACAAGGGGAAGGAGCCCCTGGCAGCAGCCAAACTGGCTGGAAATAATGAAGGGTTTATATTGCAGCACCCATTTTGTGCAAAAAAACAAACCAGAAAAAAAAGACATCCTCTCAAATTAGTATTCAGCTCTGATATGGTTTGGCTCTGTGTCCCCAAACAAATCTTTTTTTTTTTTTTTTTTTTTTTGAGACAGAGTCTCGCTTTGTTGCCCAGGCTGGAGTGCAGTGGCGCGATCTCGGCTCACCGCAAGCTCCGCCTCCCAGGTTCACGCCATTCTCCTGCCTCAGCCTCCCGAGTAGCTGGGACTACAGGTGCCTGCCACCATGCCTGGCTAATTTTTTTGTATTTTCAGTAGAGACGGGGTTTCACTGTGTTAGCCAGGATGGTCTCGATCTCCTGACCTCGTGATCCGCCCACCTCGGCCTCCCAAAGTGCTAGGATTACAGGAGTGAGCCACCACGTCAGGCTTCCCACACAAATCTTATCTTGAATTGTAATAATTCCCACGCATGGAGGGAGAGACCTGGTGAGAGGTTATTCGATCATGGAGGCAGGTTTCCCCCTTGCTGTTCTCATGATAGTGCATGAGTTCTCACGAGATCTAGTTGTTTGATAAGTTTCTGGTGCTTCCCCCTTCTCTTTCTCTCTCTCCTGATGCCTTGTGAAGAAGCTATTTGCTTCTCCTTTGCCTTCTGCCATGATTGTGAGTTTCCTGAGGTCTCCCCAGCCATGCAGAACTGTGAGTCAATTAAACTTCTTTTCTTTATAAATTATCCAGTCTCAGGTAGTATCTTTATAATAGTGTGAAAGAGACTAATAGACACATTTTCATGAATAGCTAATCTTAATGTTATCGTTCTTGTTTGTTCTGACTGATTCATATAAGATTCACATGACCCTGTTTCTACATTCTAAGTTAACAGTGAAAGTTCATCACAGTGGGTGTCAGTATTAATTAAACAATGCAACTGAAACCCAACTATTCCAGTTAAGACATCCCTAACCTCTCTAGCCATCTTGGACTATTTTATTTTATATTCCTCAAAATGACTAAAGTCCTGCCTCCATTCCCCAACATCTCACTGGCAGACTAGGTGTCTGGTAGAGGTCTATTTCCTGATTCATAGATGGCACCTTCTCCATGTGTCCTCACATGGTGGAAGGGGCTAGCTAGCTCTCTATGGTCTTTAAGAAGGGCATGATTCCTAATAGTGAGG
This sequence comes from Homo sapiens, assembly GCF_000001405.40. Lineage (NCBI taxonomy): Eukaryota > Metazoa > Chordata > Mammalia > Primates > Hominidae > Homo > Homo sapiens. The sequence continues at coordinate 166,639 of NW_013171802.1, forward strand.
GATATGCTCTTACAATATAATCACCTCCCAAAGGCCTTACCTCGTAATACTGTCACCTTGAGGATTAGGATTTCAGCATATGAATTTGGAAGGGGGCAGACATTTAGACCATAGCAAGTGAGGCACAAACAGATTCCAAAAGCCAGAGAAAAGATACAAGGTTGATTCTTCCTCAAGGCTTGTATTAGTCCATTCCCACACTGCTATGAATAAATACCTAGATTGGGTAATTTATAAAGGAAAGAGGTTTAATTGATTCACAGTTCTGCAAGGCTGGGAAAGCCTCAGGTAGCTTATAGTCATGGCGAAAGGGGAAGCAAACACGTCCTTCTTCACAGGGCGGCAGGAGAGACAAGTGAGAAGCAAACGGGGAAAAGCCCTTTAAAAAACCATCAGATTGCGTGAGAACTCACTCACTATCACAAGAACTGCATGGGGAAAACCACCCCCATGATTCAATTATCTCCACCTGGTCCCACCCTTCACATGTGGGGATTATTACAATTCAAGGTGAGATTTGGGTGGGCACACAGAGCCAAACCATATCAGGGCTGAATACTAATTTGTGGGGATGTCTTTGTTTTCTGGTTTGATTTTTGCACAAAATGGGTTCTTCAATATAAACCCTTCAGTATTTCCAGCCAGTTTGGCTGCACGTGGGGATCACAGTATGAGATGAGATTTGGGTGAGGACACAGAGCCAAACCATGTCAGTGTGTTTCTGAATGTAATTTTTTTTTTTTTTTTTTAAGATGGAGTCTTGCTCTTGTCGCCCAGGCTGGAGTGCAGTGATGTGATCTCGGCTCACCACAACCTCTGCCTCCCGGACTCAAGCAATTCTCCTGCCTCAGCCTCCTGGGTAGCTGGGATTACAGGTGCCCACCACCATACCCAGCTAATTTTTTTTTTTTAGTAGAGACAGAGTTTCACCATGTTGGCCAGGCTGGTCTCAAACTCCTGACCTCAGGTGATCCGCCCACCTCGGCCTCCCAAAGTGCTGGGGTTACAGACGTGAGCCACTGCTCCCAGCCGAATTTCAAATATTTAAAAATAATTTTGAAAGTAGCAAGAGAATGCATGGTGGTTTATGTTGAGGAAACCAGCCCCACACCACCCAGCGGGTACCCCGAGTCCCGGGGCGACAAAGGAGTTAGAAAGAGACAGAATAAGCATTTAAAAGGCGGGTCCAGAGGACCGGAGCATCGGAGGCTTGCTCGCGGCCCAGAGCTCTCGGGCTCCCCACAATTTATTGGTTTACAAGCTGTTTGTTCTTCGGGCAGATGGGAGTTGGGAGGAAGGGATGAGGAAAAGGATGAATCAGTGGAGGAGAACTCGTGAGTCATTCTATAAGATGTACAGCAGTGGCGGCTTCTGTGAATTTCCTTGAGCAAAGGCGTGTGTCTAAACTACTTAAGATCTTTAACTTATCGGAACTGAAACAGGTGGGAGCAGGTTTCAGGAGGAGCCAAGGTGTTTGATTATACTCCACTGCTTCAAGGGAGTGTTATCTCCCTGAGCAACCTGTGGAATCCCGCTGAGCGATTATGCTCTCTGGGCATAAAGACATGAAGGCAATAAGGAGACTTTTCTCCTCAGAGGTCGCCATGGCTTCCCATGGGTGTCTCACACAGGGGAGACCAACTCAGCTGGCATCCCAGAAACTCTCTTTCCCACAGTTTACACTGACAAATGAGAAATTATACATAAGTGCTTAGAATAATACCTGACACAAACTAATGCTATATGTATGTATGTTTGGTGCTCCTTTCTTTCTCTTTCTTTCTTTCTTTCTTTTTCTTTCTTTCTTTCTGTCTTTCTTTCTTTCTTTCTTTCTTTCTTTCTTTCTTTCTTTCTTTCTTTCTTCTTTCTTTCTTTCCTTCTTTCTTTCTTTCTTTCTTTCTTTCTTTTCTTTCTTTCTCTCTCTCTCTCTCTCTCTATCCCTCTTTCTTTCTTTCTTTCTTTCTTTTTTTTTAAACAAGGGCTTGCTCTGTTGCTCTGGCTGGAGTGAATGGCATGATCTCCGCTCACTGCAAGCTTCACCTTCTGGGCTCAAGTGATCCTCCCACCTCAGCCTCCCAAGTAGCTACTTGTAGTACTACCAAGTACTACAGGCATGAACCATCATGCCCAGCTCCTTTATGTATTTTTTGTAGAGACAGGGTTTCACCATGTTGAGCAGGCTGGTGTCAAATTCCTGGGCTCAAGCCTTTTGCTTGCCTCGGGCTCCCAAAGGCAGGGATTATAGCTGTGAGCCACCATGCTCAGCCTTGATGTTTTATTCTTTTAAAAGAGAAACATCCATTCATAAATACCTTCTTAATATAAAGCCATACAAGTACAGTAGGATAATGTGTTAACCTGTTTTGTATTGCTATAAAGGAATACGGGAGGCTCAGTAATTTAGTAAGAGATTTATTTGGCTCATGGTTCTGCATGGTGCCAGCATCTGCTAAGCATCTGATGAAGTCTCAGGAAGCTTTTACTCATGGTGGAAGGTGAAAGGGGAGCAGGCAAGTCACATGGCAAGAGAGGGAGCAAGATAGAGGGAAGAGGTGTCAGTCTCTGAACAATCAGTTCTCCTGTGAATGAATATAGTAACAACACACTCATTACCATGGGGAGGGCACGAAGCCATGTATGAGCGATATGCTGCCATGACCCAAACACCTCCCACTAAGTTCCACCTCCAACATTGGAGATCACATTTCATCATGAGATTTTGAGGAGACAAATATCCCAACCATATTAGATAGATAGGTAAGTAGGTAGTTAGGTAGGTAGGTAGGTAGATAAACATGTACATAGATGGATAGGTGGATAGATAGGTAGAAAGGTGGATAAATAGATTTAAAATAAGATATTAAACATAGCTAATGTTACATTATTGTTGTTATTTTTGTCATTATTGTTATGATCTGGATTTCATTGTATAAACAGTGGCTCACCTTTATTCCTCTTTTTATTTTTCTGCACTAAAATTGTGATTTCTGATTCTCATAAGGGTCATGAAGCTACATATTTCAAGAAATGCAGACTTAAGTACAAAAATGTAACTGTGTTCATGGTTTATTGAAAGCATCATTGATGGAAGAGATAACTTTTATTATTCAAAGGAAAACAAACACAGATATTATTTTTGTATACTATGTGCAGGATGGAATTTCAAACACTTTAGACAGCGTTGATACACAGAACTACCTTTCTATTATTATCCCACTTCACAAAGGAGGAAATTGAAGTACAGAAAAGTTAACATGCTAGAGGTTTCACAGCTATTAAGTAGCAAGACCAGGATTGAAACCAAGGTAGTCCAATTCCAGAGCAGAATCTGTCAATGACCAAGTTACCTAATCTTTCAGAAAGCCAGAAACAGTCAGATAAATAATCCACCTTGGTTCATCTCTCTTAGTATTTTATTTTCATTTTTGGGGACACAATCCTAAAACTACTTAAAATAGACTGATTATTCCTTTATAAGTTATGTGGGAAAGCAATAACTTAAGTTTACTCATTTTTTTTTAAAACAAGTATTTAATGAGCACCTACTAAGTGCCAGAAACTTTTCTGGGCATGGGGCTAAGCAGTGAAAGAAATCGATGACTTCATGGAACTTATGTTCTAGAGAAGTGGATATAGATAATAAACTAAATAAGTATAAATATTATAAAGAAAAATAGAGAAGAAGTTTGAGCAGACAGGAAAGGCCTCACCAAGCAAGTTGTTCATTTGCTTAGGAAATCATGGAGAAGGGGAAAGAAATATTGTGTTCACAATTTCCCATTTACTTTTAGTGTCTTTTCTACTAAGACAATTCTTTACTGGGAGCTAGGTCACCAGAGGGACCTGCTTGCCATGATTTTTAGAAATTCACACTTCAATGGATGCAAAGCCAGAAGGTTGCAGGCCCTTTCTATGCAATGCTACCCTGTGCTAGGATGCACCCACAAGTCTGCAGTTCATGAAAGATTCTTCCAAGCCAGAGCAGCTTCTATACTTGAACTCATCATTCAAATAATGTGGGAGATTTAAACTTAGCCAAACTCCTTGAGCAGTTCAGTATCCTTTCACACAGGACATTTGGCTTGTCAAAAGAAAAGTTGGATTGCCTGAGGCTTGATCTTAAACATGTCTGAAGTTGGAGACACTGCATGAGACTTTTGCTTCTCTTTCTATCTTGCATACATGTTTGTTTGTGCTAAAAAGGCAACATTGTCAAAACACCTACAGAGATATCACAATAGAAGTGCAAAATCACACTATGAAATGCTGATAAAGAATGTGTTTTCCCCGATGGGACATATCTCAAAATAATAACAGCTATTTATGACAAACCCACAGCCAATATCATACTGAATGGGCAAAAACTGGAAGCATTCCCTTTGAACACTGACACAAGACAGGGATGACTCTCTCACCACTCCTATTCAACATAGTATTGGAAGTTATGTCCAGGGCAATCAGGAAAGAGAAAGAAATAAAGGGTATTCAATTAGGAAAAGAGGAAGTCAAATTGTCCCTGTTTGCAGATGACATGATTGTATATTTAGAAAACCCCATCGTCTCAGCCCAAAATCTCCTTAAGCTGATAAGCAACTTCAGCAAAGTCTCAGGATACAAAATCAACGTGCAAAAATCACAAGCATTCCTATACACCAATAGGAAACAAACAGAGCCAAATCATGAGTGAACTCCTATTCACAATTGCTTAGAAGAGAATAAAATACCTAGGAATACAACTTACAAGGGATGTGAAGGACCTCTTCAAGGAGAACTACAAACCACTACTCAATAAAATAAAAGATGACACAAACAAATGGAAGAACATTCCATGCTCATGGGTAGGAAGAATCAATATTGTGAAAATGGCCATACTGCCCAAGGTAATTTATAGATTCAATGCCATCCTCATCAAGCTACCAATGATTTTCTTCACAGAATTGGAAAAAACTACTTTAAAGTTCATATGGAACCAAAAAAGAGCCCACATTGCCAAGTAAATCCTAAGCCAAAAGAACAAAGCTGGAGGCATCATGCTACCTGACTTCAAACTATACTATAAAGCTACAGTAACCAAAACAGCATGGTACTGGTACCAAAACAGAGATATAGACCAAAGGAACAGAACAGAGCCCTCAGAAATAATAGCACACATCTACAACTATGTGATCTTTGACAAACCTGACAAAAACAAGCAATGGGGAAAGGATACCCTATTTAATAAATGGTGCTGGGAAAACTGGCTAGCCATATGTAGAAAGCTGAAATTGCATCCTTTCCTTACACCTTATACAAAAATCAATTCAAGATGGATTAAAGACTTAAACATTAGACCTAAAACCATAAAAACCCTAGAAGAAAACCTAGGCATAACCATTCAGGACATAGGCATGGGCAAGGACTTCATGTCTAAAACACCAAAAGCAATGGCAACAAAAGCCAAAATTGACAAATGGGATCTAATTAAACTAAAGAGCTTCTGCACAGCAAAAGAAACTACCATTGGAGTGAACAGGCAACCTACAAAATGGGAGAAAATTTTCACAATCTACTCATCTGACAAAGGGCTAATATCCAGAATCTACAATGAACTGAAACAAATTTACAAGAAAAAACAAACAACCCCATCAAAAATTGGGTGAAGGACATGAACAGACACTTCTCAAAAGAAGACATTTATGCAGCCAAAAAACACATGAAAAAATGCTCACCATCACTGGCCATCAGAGAAATGCAAATCAAAACTACAGTGAGATACCATCTCACACCAGTTACAATGGCAATCATTAAAAAGTCAGGAAACAACAGGTGCTGGAGAGGATGTGGAGAAATAGGAACACTTTTACACTGTTGGGAATGTAAACTAGTTCAACCATTGTGGAAGTCAGTGTGGCGATTCCTCAGGGATCTAGAACTCGAAATACCATTTGACCCAGCCATCCCATTACTGTGTATATACCCAAAGGACTATAAATCATGCTGCTATAAAGACACATGCACACGTATGTTTATTGTGGCATTATTCACAACAGCAAAGACTTGGAACCAACCCAAATGTCCAACAATGATAGACTGGATTAAGAAAATGTGGCACATATACACCATGGAGTACTATGCAGCCATAAAAAATGATGAGTTCATGTCCTTTGTAGGGACATGGATGAAATTGGAAATCATCATTCTCAGCAAACTATCGCAAGAACAAAAAACCAAACACCGCATGTTCTCACTTATAGGTGGAAATTGAACAATGAGACCACATGGACACAGGAAGGGGAACATCACACTCTGGGGACTGTGGTGGGGTGGGGGGAGGGCGGAGGGATAGCATTGGGAGATATACCTAATGCTAGATGACGAGTTAGTGGGTGCAGTGCACCAGCATGGCACATGTATACATATGTAACTAACCTGCACATTGTGCACATGTACCCTAAAACTTAAAATATAATAATAATAAATTAAAAAAAAAGAAAAAGAAAATGTGGCACATATACACCATGGAATACTATGCAGCCATAAAAAAGGATGAGTTCATGTCCTTTGTAGGGACATGGATGAAGCTGGAAACCATCATTCTGAGCAAACTATCGCAAGGACAGAAAACCAAACACTGCATGTTCTCACTGATAGGTGGGAATTGAACAATGAGAACACTTGGACACAGGGTGGGGAACATCACACACTGGGGCCTGTCGTGGGGTTGGGGGAGGGAGGAGGGATAGCATTAGGAGATATACCTAATGTAAATGATGAGTTACAGGTGTAGCACACCAACATGGCACATGTATACATATGTAACAAACTTGCACGTTGTGCACATGTACTCTAGAACTGAAAGTATAAAAAAAAAAGAATGTGTTTTCCCATGAATTTTCGTAAATGATCTAGCCTAAACATTCTAGTAAACAACCCCCAAAACAGGATAAATAAAATTTGAGTAAAATCCCAAGCATGAAGATAATATATTTTAATTTAACAAATAGTTTATTTCTACTGTTTAAAAAATGATTGTCTTAAATGATCATCATATACTTCAGTTTTCTCACTGCCTTTTCAGGAAGGCCATTTCCTCATTCATTAGACATAATCACAACCAGCTTCTCCGACTTTGAATATCATGGAAAACAAAAGCTACAGACCCAATATATCAGGTGATGCTATGATTTCAGGGCAATTTTGTGCAACCAGTTCTCATAATCAGTGCAGATCTCAGTCTGTGCAAACAAGGATCCCAGTGCAAGAAATGTTAACAAAGAAATGCCTTCTTTAGGAGTACCCTCTCCACCTCTTTCCTCTCCACCTATTTCTTCCTCATCCCAAACTAGGTAGCAATTATCACTGTTGCTCTATTACTGTCCCCTCTTATCTTCTAAGGTTTTCCTTTCTTGGTTTTTCAGTTGTTTTCAAACTTTAGAAGAAATAAGGATCACCAAGGAACTCGTTAGACATATATATATATACACACCCACATATATATAAACACTATATGTCATTAGACATATAAATATATATTATTATATATTTAATATGTATATTTAAATTGACAAGTAATAATTGTATATGTTTATGGGATACAATGTGATTTTTCCATAACATGTACACATTGTGAAATGATCAAATCAGACTACCATATCTATCAAGTAATTATCATTTATTTGTAGTGAGAACATTTAAAATCCATTATTTTAACTATTTTGAAATATACAATATATTATTAACCATAATCACTAGACCACCAGAACCGATTTCTCCTGTCTAACTAAAATTTTGTATCCTTTGTCTTAGTCTGTTTTGTGTGCTATAAAGAAATATCTGAGGCTGGGCAATTTAGAAAGAAAAATAGTTTATTTGGCTCACAATTCTCATGGCCAGAAAGTACAACATTGGGCATCTGCACCTGATAAGAGCCTCAAGCTACTTCTGCTCATGGGAGATGGCAAAGGAGAGCAGTATGTAGAGATCACATGGTGAGAGAGAAAGCAAGTGGTCAGGCAGAAGCCAGGCTCTTTTTTTTTTTAATTTTTAATTTTGTGGGTACATAGTAGGTGTGTATATTTATGGGGTACATCAGATATTTTGATACAGGGATACAATGCATAATAATCATATCAGGATATACGGAATATCCATCACCTCAAGCATTTATCCTTTTTTTGTGTTACAAAAATCTACACTCTTTTGGTTAATTAATTAATTAATTAATTTTGAGACAAAGTCTCGCTCTGTCACCCAGGCTGGAGTGCAGTGGCACGATCTTGACTCACTGCAATCTCCACCTTCTGGGTTCAAGTGATTCTCCTGCTTCAGCCTCCTGAGTAGCTGGGATTATAGGTGCATGCCACCAAGCCTGGCTAATTTGTATTTTTAGTAGAGATGGGGTTTCACCATGTTGGCCAGGATGATCTCGAACTCCTGACCTCAGGTGATCCGCCTGCCTCATCCTCCCAAAGCGCTGGCATTACAGATGTGGGCCACCATTCCTGGCTTCTTTTGTTATTTTAAAATGTACAATACATTACTGGTGGCTGTAGACACCTTCTTGTGCTATCGAATACTAGCTCTTAGTCATTCTACCTAACTATATTTTTGTACCATTAACCATGCCCCCTTTCTCTTCACTACCCTTTCCAGCCTCAGTAATCATTGTTCTACTCTCTATCTCCATGAGTTTAATTGCTTTAATTTTTAGCTCCCACAAAGACATGAGAACATGTGAAATTTGTCTTTCTGTGCCTGGCTTATTTTACTTAACATAATGATCTCCAATTCTATCCATGTTGCTACAAATGACTGGATCTCATTCTTTTTTATGGCTGAGTAGTACTCAATTGTGTATATGTACCACATTTTCTCTATCCATTCATCTGCTGATGAACACTTAATGTTGCTTCCAAATCTTGCCTATTGTGAATAGTGCTGCAATAAAAATGGGAGTGCAGGTATCTCTTCTATATACTGATTTCCTTTCTTTCGGTTATATACCTAGCAGTGGCATTGCTGGATCATATGGTAGCTTTATTTTTAGTTTTTTGGGAAATCTCAAACTGTTCTCCATAGCAGTTGTACTAATTTACATTCCCACCAACAGTGTATGAGGGTTTCCTTTTTTGCACATCTTTGCCAGTATTGTTATAACTTGTATTTTGGATAAAAGCCCTTTTAACTGGAGTGAGATGATATCTTCTTGTAGTTTTGATTTGCATTTCTCAGAATATTAATGATGTTGAGCACCTTTTCATACATCTGTTTTCCATTTGTATGTCTTATTTTGAGAAATGTCTATTCAGATATTTTGCCACTTGTTTAATTGGATTATTAGATTTTTTTTCTATTGAGTTTTTCGAGCTCTTTATATATTCTGGTTATTAATCCCTTGTCAGATGGATAGTTTGCAAAGATTATCTCCCATTCTGTGAGTTGTCTTTTCACTTTGTTGATTGTTTCTTTTGCTTTGCAGAAGCTTTTTAACTTGATGTGATACCATGTGTACATGTTAGCTTTGGTTGCTTATGTGTGTGTGGTATTATTCAAGAAATATTCGCTGTGACCAATGTCCTAGAGGATGTTTTCTTTGAGTAGTTTTATAGTTTGAAGTCTTAGTTTTAAGTTTTTAATTCACCTTGATTTGATTTTTGTATATTGTGAGAGATAGGGTCTAGTTTCATTCTCCAGTATATGGACATCCAATTTTTCTCAGACCATTTATTGAAAGGACTGTTCTTTCCCCAGTGTGTGTTCTTGGAACTTTGTTGGAAATAAGTTTCTCAGATTTCTATTCTGTTCCAATGATCTACATGTCTGTTTTTATACCAGTACCATGCTGTTTTGTTTACTGTAGCTTTGTAGTATAATTTGAATTTTTTTCATGACATGAGACAGATATATATATATCTATATATCTATATATATCTATATATATCTATATATTTATATATATCTATATATATCTATATATATATCTATATATATCTATATATATCTATATATATCTATATATATATCTATATATATCTATATATATATCTATATATATATCTATATATATCTATATATATATCTATATATATATCTATATATATCTATATATATATCTATATATATATCTATATATATCTATATATATCTATATATATCTATATATATCTATATATATTTGAGGTTGCATATTTCACTTTATTTAGCAAATGGTCACACTTGGCCCCACCACTGCCCCTGCAGCCTTGCTTGAACACCTGCCTCAGGAAGCAGCTCAGAGTGAACAGGAAGGCCTGGGTTTCCAAGCTTGGGCCTCACCTGCCTCCACACATGCCACACACTACAGAACAAAATTACTGCCCCATGTCCTCAGGAGCCCATCCCATGTGGTCCAGGCGGCCCTCCAGTGTTCAACAGCTGCCTGCAGGGGCTGCAGCCCAGCTCTAGGCACAGACCCCCTGTTCCTGAGACACCAGCCCCAGGAGAGCCTCTGTCTCCAGCTGTGAGGGTGCCAGACACTGAGCCCTGGCCCTGCCACCTGTCCTTGCTGGGCAATAAGCAAATGTATGAAAATACTTCAATGACTTCTTTGAAAGAGTTAAGCTTGGCAATAAATTTATCTTCTAGATTTTCCAAATTATTAATATATAGTTGCTCATAATAGCTTCTAATAATCCTTTGTAATGTGATTCTTCCAGTTTCATTCTTTTTGCTCAGGATAGCATTGGCTATTCTGGCTCTTTGTGGTTCCATACAAGTTTTAAGATTGTTTTTTCTCTTTCTGTGAAGAATGTCAGTGGTATTTGATAAGGATTGCATTGAATCTGTAAATTGCTTTGTGTAGTGTGGTAATTTTAACAATATTGACTCTTCCAATCCATGAACATGGAATATGTTTTCATTTTTTCTGATGTCCTCTTCAATTTCTTGCAGCAGTGATTTACAGTTTTCATTGTAGAGATCTTTCACTTCATTGGTTATGTTAATTCCTAGGTATTTTATTTTCTTTGTAGTTATTATAAATGGGATTACTTTCTTGATTTCTTTTTCACTTTGTTTGTCGTTGGCAAGTAGAAATGCTAGTAATTTTTTATGTTGACTTTGTATCCTGGCACTATGCTGAATTTGTTGATCAATTCTAATAGCTTTTTGGTAACATCTTTAGATTTTTCCAAATATAATACCATATCATTTGCACAGAAGAATAATTTGACTCTTCCTTTTTAATGTAGATGTGCTTTCTTTTTCTTGTCTGATTGCTCTAGGTAGGACTTACAGTATTATTTTGAATAACAGTGATGAAAGTTGGCATCCTTGTCATGCTCCAGATCTTAGAGAAAAGGCTTTTAATTTTTCCCATTCAGTAGTATACTAGCTGTGGGTCTGTCATATATGGCTTTTATTATGTTGAGGTATATTCCTTCTACATCCAGTTTTCTGAGGGTTTTTAACATGAAGTGATGTTGAATTTTATCAAATGCTCTTTTAGCATCAATTGAAATGATTATATGGTTGTTGTTCTTCATTATGTTGATATGATGTATCATATTGAATAATTTCTGTATGTTGAACAATTTTTGCATCACTGGGATAAATCCCATTTCATCATGGTGAATGATCTTTTAATGTATTGTTGAATTTGATTTGCAAGTATTTTGTTGAGGATTTTTACATCAATGTTCATCAGGGATATTAGCCTGTAGTTTCTTTTTTGATGTGTCTTTGTCTGGTTTTTGTATCAGGATAATACTGGCCTCATAGAATGAGTTTCTGAAGTATTCCCTCCTCCTTTATTTTTCAGAATAGTTTGAGAAGGATTGGTATTAAGTTCTTTTAATGTTTGATAGAATTCAGAAGTGAAGCCATTGGGTCCTGGACTTTTCTTCGCTGGGAGAATTTTTATTACATCTTCAATCTTGTTACTTGTTATTTTTCTGTTCAGGTTTTGGATTTCTTCATGATTCAATCTTGGTAGCTTGTATATGTCTAAGAAATTATCCATTTCTTCTAGATTTTCCAAATTATTGATATATAGTTGCTCATAATAGCTTCTAATTATCTTTTGAATTTCTATGGTATTGGTTGTAATGTCTCCTTTTTCAACTTTGATTTTATTGATTTGGGTCTTCTCTTTTTTTTCTTAGTCTGACTATAGGTTTGTTGATTTTTTTAAATCTCTTCAAAAAACCGACTTTTCATTTCTTTGATAGTTTGTATTATTTTCCTTGTTTCAATTTCATCTATTTCTGCTCTGATCTTTATTATTTCTTTCCTCCTACTAATTTTAGGTTTGGCTTGCTCTTACTTTTCTAGTTCCATAAGATGCATTCTTAGGTTGTTTATTTAAAGTTTTTCTATCTTTTCGATGTAGGCACTTATAGTACTGCTTTTGCTGTATCCTATAGGTTTCGATATGTTGTGTTTCCTTTATAATTTGTTTCAAGAAATTTTTAAATTTTCCTCTTAAGTTCTTCATTGACCTACTGGTCATTCAGGAGGATATTGTTTAATTTCCATGTGTTTGTATAGTTTCCAAAATTTCTCTTATTGTTGATTTCTAGTTTTATTATATTGTGGTCAGAGAAGATGCTTGATATAATTCCTTTTTTTCAAGAAAATGTTAAGACTTGTTTTGTGGCCTAACATATGGTCTATCCTTGAGAATGATCCATGTGCTGAGGAGAAGAATGTGTATTCTGCAGCCACTGGGTGAAATGTTCATTAAACATCTATTAGATCAATTTGGTCCATAGTGCGGATTTAGTCCAAAGCTCTTTGTTGATTTTCTGTCTGGATAATCTGGCCAATGCTGTAAGTGGGGTGTTGAAGTCTCCAGCTATTATTGTATTAGGGTCTATCTCTCTCTTTAGCTCTAATAATATTTGCTTTATATATCTGAGGGCTCCCTTGTTGGATGAATATATATTTAAAATTGTTATATTCTCTCTCTGAATTGATTTTTTATCATTATATAATGACCTTCTTTGTCTTTTTTTAAATAGATTTTTGTCTTGAAATGTATTTTGTCTGATAAAATATAGCTACGCCTGCTCTTTTTTGGTTTCCTTTTGCATGGAATATCTTTTTCCATCTCTTTGTTTTCAGTCTATGTATGTCTTTATATGTAAAGTATGTTCTCATAGCAAAGGATCATTGGGCCTTCTTTTTTAATCCATTTAGTCATTCTCTGTCTTTTGATTGGAAGATTTAGTCCATTTATATTCAACGTTACTATTGATAAGTAAAGACTTACTCCTGCCATTTTGTGATTTATTTTCTGATTGTTCTGTAGTCTTCTCCTTCTTTTCTCCTTCCTTTTAGTAAAAGTGATTTGCCCTCATGGTATGATTTAATTTCTTGCTTTTTATTTTTTGTGTATCTCTTGTATATTTTTTGATTTTAAGCTACCATGAGGCTTGCAAATGATATTTTATAACCCATTATTTTAAATAATGAAAACTTAATATTCATTGCATAAAAACAAATAAGCAAAGAGAAAACTAATAAAAATTCTACACTTTAACTTTGCCCCCTCTCCCTTTTTAAATTTTTGTTTGTTTGTTTGTTTTTGAGATGGAGTCTCCCTCTGTCAACCAGGCTGGAGTGCAGTGGCACAATCTCAGCTCACTGCAACTTCTGCCTCCTGGGTTCAAGTGATTATCCTACTTCAGCCTCCAGTATAGCTGGGATTATAGGCACCTGCCACCACATCTGGCTAATTTTTGTATTTTTAGTAGAGACGGGGTTTCACCATGTTGGCTAGGCTGGTCTTGAACTCCTGACCTCAGGTGATCAGCCCACTTTGGCCTCCCAAAGTGCTGGGAATACAGGCTTGAGCCAAAAGTTGTTGTAGTCATTATTTTTGATTGGTTCATCTTTTAGTCTTTTTACTCAAGATACGAGTGGTTCACACACCAAAATTACAGTGTTATACTATTCTGTGTTTTTCTGTGTACTTACTATTACCAGTGAGTTTTGCACCTTCACATGATTTCTTATTGCTTATTAATGTCCTTTTCTTTTGGATTGAAGAACCCCTTTAGCATTCCTTGCAGGTCAAGTCTGGTGTTGATGAAATGCCTCAACTTTTGTTTGTCTGGGAAAGTCTATTCTTCATATTTGAAGGATATTTTAGCTGGATAGATCATTCTAGGAGAAAAGGGTTTTTCCTCAGCATTCTTTCCTGTCATGCCACTCTCTCCTGGCCTGTAATGTTTCCACTGAAAAGTCTGCTGTCAGACATATTTGACCTCCATTTTATATTGTTTATTTCTTTTCTCTTGCTACTTTTAGGACCCTTTATCTTTATGGGAATTCAATTATATAAATACCTTGAGGTAGTCTTCTTTGGGTTAAATCTGCTTGGTGTTCTATAATCTTCTCGTACTTAAATATTGATATCTTTCACTAGTTCTGGGAAGTTCTCTGTTATTATCCCTTTGAATAAACTTCCTACCCCAATCTTTCTCTCTTCTCCTCTTTAAAGCCAATAACTCTTAGATTTGTCCTTTTGAGGCTATTTTCTAGACCTTATAGGCATGCTTTATTCTTTTATATTCTTTTCTTCTTTTGTCTTCTCTGTCTATTTTGAAATAGCCTGTCCTCAAGTTCATTAATTCTTTCTTCTGCTTGATCAATTCTGTTGTTAATAGACTGATGCATTCGTTAGTATGTCAATTGCATTTTTCAATGGCAGAATTCTTCTTGATTATTTTTAATTATTTCAATATGTTAAATTTATCTAATAGGATTCTAAATTCCTTCTCTCTGTTATCTTGAATTTTGTTGAGTTTCCTCAAAACAGTTATTTTCAATTTTCTGAAAAGTCACACATGTCTCCCTTCAGAATTGATCCATGGTGACTTATTTAGTTTGTTCGATGAGTTCATATTTTCGTGGATGGTCCTAACGCTTGTTAATGTTCATAGTCTCTGTGCATTGAAGAACTAAGTACTTATTGCAGTCTTTGCAGTCTCGGCTTATTTGTACCTGTCTTTGGGACTGCTTTGCAGGTATTTGAAGGGACCTGAATATTGTAATCTAAGCTTTTTGTCACTGCAGCCATATGTGCATTAGATACTTCCCAAGCCCAGTAATGGTACAGCTCTTGCAGTCTTGTAGAGTTATCACCTTTATGGTCTTGGATAAGATCTGGAAGAATTTCCTGGATTACCAGGAAGAGACTCTTATTCTCTTCCCTTACTTTCTTCTAAGCAAATGGAACCACTCTCTGAGCTGCCTGGAGCTGGGGGAAGGGTGACACAAGCACCCATGTGGCAACCACCACTAGGACTGTGCTGGGTCATACGTGAAATCAGCAAGGTACTGGGTTTTGCCCAAGGCCCACATTAACCACTTCCTGGCTACCACTATATTCACTATATACTATATTGGATATATTATACTCTATATTGGATACACTATATTGAATATACTATACACTATATTGGATATATACCCAGGAGTGGGATTTCTGAGTTATGTGATAATGCTATTTTTAGTTTTTTAAGGAATCTCCATACTGTTTTCTAAAATGTACTAATTTACAATGCTACAACAATGTACAAGGGTTCCCTTTTCTCCACATCCTCACCAATACTTGTTATCTTTCTTTTTTTTGTGATAGCCAATCTAATAAGTGTGAGGTAATAACTTATTGTGGTATTAATTTGCATTTCTCTGGAAAATGGTGGATAGGAGTCATGACTAACATTCAGCTCCTACTTGGATGGACGGAACAGCGTGTGGAGACTCACGCCATGAACTTTTGCTCCAAGAACCACCACAGGAACATGCCAGGAAGACTGAAAAAGTTCACGGGTCCTGCGGAAGAAGCAACTTACCACTGAAAACTCTGTGAGACAGCTGAAAAAGTGAGTTCCCAAAGCATGAGAGGGAAAAACCTGCCTCCAAACACACATCTCCAGTGGGGAACCTGAAAATTCACATAATAGGGGAAGGATATAATAGACTTAGGGAGCCAAGCAAAATATTAAAGTAGAAGAAGCAATAGAAAGAGCCTTGTAGGCACTCTCACTTCCCAGCTTGAGCCCAGGGAAGCCACCCCTGACTTTATCTCACAGGGCTCCTTAAGGAAGGCAGCCAGTGGAACTAGGGAGGGGTCACAGGGTGAAAGAAGCTTCCAACTGAACTTTGTAATAATTTCAACCAAGCTCAAATTTTCTTGAGCCGAATCCAAGGGTTAAACAGGAAATGCTGCAGATACAAGCACTGGAGCTGCAGCCAACAGTGTGTGCAGACAGGGAGAGGCAAGACCTGAAAGCGATGATAGCTTTCTTAGCTGGAAGGCTTCTTGCCTGGGGCAAGGTCTGAGCCCTGTGCATGGGCTACCTGAAAATAAATTGTTGGTGAGGCATGACAGGAGCAAGACCAGCCTTGATGGCTGTGTGGGAGCTGGGTGAGACCTGTCACTGTTGGCTTCCCCCAACTTCCCTGGTGACCTGTATGATGCAGCAGAGGCAGCCATAATCCCTTTAGAACATAACTCCATTGGCTTGAAAACCACGCCCCACTACCCCCCAGAGTGGCTGCTGCAAGCTGTGACCAAGGAGAGTCTGAGCTCAGACCCACCTAACCCCGCCCCTAGCTGACGGTATTTCTCTACCTCTTCTGGTAGCCAAAGACAAAAAACATAAACTCCTGGGAGCTTTATGGCCCCACCCATTGCCTGAGAAACCTGAATGCTTATCCTGGACAACTTAGGGCAAGCTTATGTCCCCCTTCTACTATCACAGCTGGTGCTCTCTTGAAAGTGCCACCTCCTGGATGGAGGTCAACCAACTCAAGCCATTACAGCAGCTCATAACAGAATAACCCTGCTCCAAGGAAAGAGAAAACTACAGTTAATTCCACTGCCTGCAACATCCTGACTAAACAGAGGTCATGAGTCTGTCTACATGACAACTTCACTGCTAGCATAACCAGTATTCAAGAAAAACAGCATATTAAACAAAACTACAATCAAGGACTCTCACAGAGTCTACTTCACTCCCCTGTCACCTCCACCAGAGCAGATGCTGGTATCCATGGCTGGGAGACCTGAAGATGGATCACATCACAGGACTCTGCAAAGATTCCCCAGCACCAGCCCAGAGCATGATAGCTCCGCTGGGTGGCTAGACCCAGAAGAGCAATAACAATTACTCCAGTTTGGCTCTCAGGAAGCCATTTCCCTAGGGGAAGGAGGAGAGCACCATATCAAGGGATCACCCCATGGGACAAAAGAATTTGAACAGCAGTCCTTGAGTTCAAGATCTTTCCACTGAATAGCCTACGCAAATAGAAGAAACCAGAAAAGTAATTCTGGAAATATGAGAAAACAAGGTTCTATAACACCCCCCAAAAGATTATACTAGCTCCCCTGCAGTGGATCCAAACCAAGAATAAATCCCTGAATTGCCAGATAAAGAATTCAGAAGGATGAGTATTAAGTTACTCAAGGAGATACCAGAGAAAAGTGAAAACCAACTTAAAGAAATTTAAAAAATAATATAGAATATGGATGAAAAATTTTCCAGAGAAATAGACATCATAAAGAAAAAACAATCACAACTTCTGGAAATGAAAGACACACTTAGAGAAATAAAAAATGCACTGGAAAGTATCAACAACAGACTAGAACAAGTAGAAGAAAGAACTTTTGGCTTGAAGACAAGGCTTTTGAATTAACCCAATCCAAGACAGACAAAGAAAAAAGAATTTAAAAAAATGAACAAAGCCTCCAAGAAATTTGGGATTATGTTAAATGTCCAAATTTAAGAATAATTGATGTTCCTGAGAAAGAAGAGAAATCTAAAAATTTGAAAAACATATTTGAGGGAATAAGTGAGGAAAACTTCCCTGGCCTTGCTAGAGAGCTAGACATCCAAATACAAGAAGCTCAAAGAACATCTGGGAAATTCATTGCAAAAAGATAATCACCTAGGCACATAGTCATCAGATTGTCTCAAGTTAAGATAAAGGAAAGAATCTTAAGAGCTTTTTAAGATAAAGAAAAACCTATCAGATTAATAGCAGATTTCTCAGCAGAAACCCTTCAAGCCAGATGGGATTGGGGTCCTATCTTTAGCCTCCTCAAAGAAAGTAATTATCAGCCAATAATTTTGTATCCAGCAAACCTCCTTAAACATAAATCTCATGCAAGGCCTATAAAACAATAGCACAATGATAAAAACAAACCAAGGTATTCAGTCAACAATGAGCATGATGAATCGAATGGTACCTCACATCTTAATACTAATGTTGAATGTCAATGGCCTAAATGCTCCACTTAAAAGATACAGAATGGCATAATGGATTAATAAAACCACCACCCAAGTATTTGCTGTCTTCAAGAGACTCACCTAACACATAAGGACTCACATAAACTTAAAGGGGTGGAAAAAGATAATCCATGCAAATAAAAACCAGAAATGAGCAGAAATGGCTATTCTTATATCAGACAAAACAGACATTAAAACAACAACAGTTAAAAAACATAAGAAGGAATATTATATAATGGTAAAAAGATAAGTCCAACAGGAAAATATCACAATCCTAAATATATATGCATCTAACACTGGAGCTCCCAAATTTATTAAACCATTACTACTAGACCTAATAAATGAGATAGACAGCAACACAATAATAGTGAGGGACTTCAATACTCCACTGACAACACTAGACAGGTCATCAAGACAGAAAGTCAACAAAAAAAAAAATGGATTTAAACTATACACTACAAGAATTGAACTTAGCAGATATTTATAGAACATTCTACCCAACAACTGCAGAATATACATTCTTTTCATCAGCACATGGAACATTCTGCAAGATAGATCATATGATAGGCTAGAAAATAAGTCTCAATAAATTTAAGAAAATTGAAGTTATATCAAGTACCCTCTCAGACCACAGTGGAATAAAATTAGAAATTAACTCCAAAAGGAACCCTGAAAACTATACAAATGCATGGAAATTAAACAATCTGCTCCTGAATGACCTTTGGGTCAATAATGATATCAAAATGAAAATTTAAAAATTCTTTGAACTGAATGATGATAGTGACACAACCTATCAAAACCTCTGGGGTACAGCAAAAGCAATGCTAAGAGGAAAGTTTATAGCATTAAATGCCTACATTAAAAAGTCTGAAAGAGCACAAATAGACAATTTAAAGTCACACCTCAAGGAACTAAAGAAACAAGAACAAACCAAACCCAGACACAGCAGAAGAAAAGAAATAACAAAGATCACAGCAGAAATTAAATGAAATTAATTGAAATTAAAACAAAAAATACAAAAGATAAGTGAAACAAAAAGCTGATTCTTTGAAAAGATAAACAAAATTGATAGACCTTTAGCAAGATTAACCAGGAAAGGAAGAGAGAAGATTTAAAAAGCTCAACTAGAAATGAAATAAGAGTTATTACAATTGATACTACAGACATACAAAAGATCATTCAAGGTTACTATGAACACCTTTATGTGCACAAACTAGAAAACCTCAAGGAAATAAATAAATTCCTGGAAATACACAACCTTCCTAGATTAAAACAGGAAGAAATAGAAACTCTGAACAGACCAATAACAAGTAGCAAGATTGAAACAGTAATTTTAAAATTGCCAACAACAACAATAACAAAAAAACCCAGGACCAGATGGATTCACAGCTAAAATCTTATTTATTTATTTATTTATTTATTTATTTCAGACAGAGTCTTGCTCTGTTGCCCAGGCTGGAGTCCAGTGGCATGATCTTAGCTCACTGCAACCTCCACCTCCTGGGTTCAAGTTATCCTCTTGCCTCAGCCTCCCGAGTAGCTGGGATTATAGGCACCCATCACCATGCCTGGCTAATTTTTGTATTTTTAGTAGAGACGAGGTTTCGCAATATTCAATAAGCTGGTCTCAAACTCCTGACCTCAAGTGATTCACCCTCCTTGGCCTCCCAAAGTGCTGGGATTACAGGTGTGAGCCAGCATGCCTGGCCTCACAGCTGAATTCTATCAAACATTCAAAGAAGAATTTGTGTCAATCTTACTTAAACTATTCAAAAATATAGAGAAAAAGGGAATCTCCTTAATTTGTACTATGAAGCCAGTATCACCCTAATACCAAAACCAGAAAAGGACATAACAAAAACAGAAAACTACACACCAATATCCCTGATGAACATAGATGCTAAAATCCTCAACAAAATACAAGCTAACTGAATCCAACAGCATATCAAAAAGATAATACACCATGATCAAGTGGCTTTCATACCAGGGATGCAGGGATGGTTTAACATACATGAGTCAACAAAAATGATACACCACAATACATGGAATTAAAAACAAAAATCATATGATCATCTCGGTAGATGCAGAAAAAGCATTTGACAACATCTAGTATCTGTTTATGATTAAAACTCAGCAAAATCGGCATAGAAGAGACATGTCTTAACATAATAAAAGCCATCTATGACTAACCCACAGCCAACATTACACCGAACAGGGAAAGGAAGAAAGCATTCCCCATGAGAATCAAAACAGACAAGGATGCCTACTTTCACCACTTCTATTCAGCGTAGTACTGGAAGTCCTAGCCAGAGCAAACAAATAAATAAAAAGGAAATAAAAGGCAACCAGATCAGTAAAGAGAAAGTTAAACCGTCACCAGTGATATGATCGTATACCTAGAAAACCCTAAAGATTCATTCAAAAAGCTTCTAGATCTGATAAATGAATTCCGTAAAGTTTCAGGATACAAAATCAATGCACACTAATCAGTAGTGCTACTATAAAACAACAACAACCAAGCTGAGAATCAAATCAAGAATTCAACCCTTTTTACAATAGCTGCAAAAAATAAAATAAAATAAAATACTTAGGAATGTAGCTAACCAAGGAGGAGAAAGGCCTCTACAAGGGAAACTACAAAGCACTATTGAAAGAAATCACAGGTGACACAAACAAATGGAAACACATCTCATACTCATGGACGGGTAGAATCAATAGTGTGAAAATGACCATACTGCCAAGGAACAAATCTAGAGGCATCACATTACCCAACTTCAAACTATACTACAAGGCTATAGTCACCAAACAGCATGGTACTTGTGTAAAAATAGGCACATAGACCAACGTGACAGAATAGAGAACCCAGAAATAAAGCCAAATACTTATAGCCAACTGATCTTCAACAAAGCAAACAGAAACATAAAGTGGAGAAAGGACACTCTATTCAACAAATGATGCTGGGATAATCGGCAAGCAACATGTAGAAGAATGAAACTGGATCCTCATCTCTCACCTTATACAAAAATTAACTCAAGAAGGATCAAAGACTTAAATCTATGACCTAAAATTGTAAAAATTCTAGAAGATAACATTGGAAAAACTCTTCTGGATATTGTCTTAGGCAAAGAGTTCATGACCAAGAACCCAAAAGCAAATGCATCAAAAACAAAGATAAATAGACTTAATTGAACTAAAAAGCTTCTGCACAGCAAAAGAAATAATCAGAAGAGTAAACAGACAATCCAGAGAATGGGAGAAAATATTCCCAAACTATGCATCAAACAAAGGACTAATATCAGAATCTACAAGGAGCTGAAACAAATCAGCAAGAAAAATATAAAATAATTCCATCAAAAAGTGGGCTAAGGACACGAATAGACAATTCTCAAAAATAGGTACACAAATGATCAACAAATATATTAAAAAATACTCAACATCACTAATAATCAGGGAAATGCAAATCAAACCTATTGCAATACCACTTTACTCCTGCAAGAATGGACATAATTTTAAAAATTGAAAAAATAATAAATGTTGATGCGGATGTGGCGAAAAGGGAACACTTTTACACTGCTGGTGGGAATGTAAACTAGTACAACCAGTATTGAAAACAATATGGAGACTCCTTAAAGAACTAAAAGTAGAACTACCGTTTGATCCAGCAATCCCACTCCTGGATATCTACCCAGAGGAAAATAAGTCATTATATGAAAAAGACACTTGCACACACATATTTATTGCAGCACAATTTGCAATTGCAAAAATATGAAACTAGCCTAAATGTTCATCAACCAATGAGTGGATAAAGAAAAAATATAAATATACACATACCATGGAATACTACACTAGCCATAAAAAAGTAACAAAATAATGGCATTTGCAGGAACCTGGATGGAATTTGGTATCATTATTCTATGTGAAGTAACTCAGGAATGGAAAACTAAACATTGTATGTTTTTACTTATAAGTGGGAGCCAAGCTATGAGGATGCAAAGGCATGAGTGACATAATGAACTCTGGGGAATTCTGGGGAAAGATGGGAAGTGGGTGAAGAATAAAAGACTACAAATTGGGTACAGTGCACACTGCTCAGGGGACAGGTGCCCCAAAATCTCAGAAATCACCATTACACCATTAAATAACTTATCCATGTGACCAAAAACCACCTGATCCCCTAAACTATTGAAATTTAAAAATTTAAAAATAAGATAAAATAAAATTTACTTTGTGAGATAGTTCTTAAAAATTGCATTTCTCTGATGATTAGCAATGTTGAACATTTAAAAATATATGTTGGCCACTTGTTTGTCTTCTTTTGAGAAATATTATATATATACATATATGTGTATATATATACACACACACACATATATACATATATTCTTGAATCCTCCCTCTCTTCATAAAGATTTTGGATCTTTATGCGTGGGCAGGTCCTAGAATCTGCATTTTTAATATAAATTCCAGGTGGTTCTGTTAAAAGGAAGTTTGAAGACCACAATTTGCAAAACAGTGTTAGTGGCAGCGAAATAATTTTTCAAGAGAGGATCTACATAAAATTTTAGGTATATTCAGTGTAGAATGAAGGTTAAACTTGAGAAATGTAGAAATGTAGCATTATGAAATGTTCAGGCAGGGAGGGAAGATCATTCTACCCTAATGCCTTCATTTCACACATGAGGAAATACAGGCTCTGAGAAGTGCCCAAAGGTTATATAATAAGTTTGTGGCAGAATCAGGGCTAAAAATAAGGTCTTAACTCCCAGTTCAAGCTCTTCTCCTCTTCATGTTACATTCTAAAATGAAATAGTATTCAAAGAATTAGACATGTTCTTGTAGCTGTTTAACGTTTTATAAGGCTCTAGCATTTCTCATTGTTTTTCAAACTACAGCTCCAGTCTATTTAAACATTTTGGGAGAATAACAAAGGAGTTGATCTCCACAAAAGTAGAAAAGAGCATGGAAAAAATACAGCTGATAGCAGACAAGGTTTTCTCTGTGAAAAGATTTTAAACAATTATTTTATGTTTTAAATACCTGTAATTAAACCCCTTTCTGTAACCACTCCAGTCTCCTTTTGGCTTTTCCAAAATAAAATCTTTTTTCTGCACAGGAAGGTCAGATTGTGTCTTGTTGATTCACACCTGATGAGCAAAGTGCATGTATCATGAATGCTAACACCCATTGTTATTATTTTCAAGAACCAGGTATTAAGTGCCTACGATGCCAACATGGAAAAACAACCCTTTGACAGATTTTTCTTCATTTTTGTTAAACTCTTCTGCATTTCTATAGGATAAAAATCTATTTCAAAGCTGTGCTGCTGGCAGTTTTACATGAAATGTATTTTAAACATGACAGTTGTTTTCATGTGGAAAAATACAAACATGGCTAACATATAAAATGATTATACAAATTGCGCAGGACTGATTGCTTAGAATATTCACTATTCCAAACGTTCTGTTTCTTAAAGGGAAATATTCATCAGAAAATAAATTGCATATTTAGAACTTGAAATCCGACTTTTTTTATAAAAAGAAATAAGTTTCTACTTCTTCACAAAGAAGACAGTGAACATATTGGAGTAGAAAAACACTAATGTTGCAACCAGGTGACAGAAGGTCTAGTGTAGCTGCTCTGAACAAATTTTAACTTCAGTTTGCTCAGGTGCAAAATGCAGGTGATATTCCAACCTATCTGACAGACTATTAAAAGACTTGTATGAGCTTATAATTGTGGGATGATTAATAAGAAATTATTATTTAGTAACTGATATGTTTATCTGCAGTGAAAATAGTATGAAGAATATTATAATGTGAAATAAGGAGGAAATGATTACAATACTTAACATAAAATATTACCTATTTCTGGTGAAAGAGCAGTACAACTTTTGCAAGCACAGCATTACATAAAGCATTTCAGTAATGTTATTCAGTTTGCTTCCCCAGGGTCTTGAAACCAGCTCATAGGTGCTGACTTGTTCCAACCTCAAAATCTTCATTCTAGGCAGAAATTAAACCAAGTCAAAGGAGACAGACATACTCAGAGAAGGGGAAAATATCTAGAGATAAACGATTATGATACTCTCTCTGATAGCCCATCAATTCCTTATATACAAATCTTAGGTGATTCTGATACCCAACTAGGTTTGGAACCAAAGTTGTAGATGGTCTAATACAGTAATTCTCAATCTCTGATGCATATTAAAATCAAGAGAAGAATTTATTTAAAAAATAGAAGCTTCACACACCCAGATATTTTATTGACTTGAGCATCAGAATTTGTTTTAAAAGTCTCCAGTTATTGTATTAATAATGTGCAGCCAGGATCGAGAACAACTGATCTAAGGTATTAAATAAGGAAGAGTTATTCCCTTCTGGAGGAGAGGGGCTCAGTTTCCTTAATTCTTTATTCATTGAGGAAACTGAGCTCCTTTCCTCCAGAAGGGAATAATTAAATTTCTGTAAGCATGCATAAATATGAATAGTCAATTCAATTCAACAAATCTTTATTGAGGACCTACATGTTTGTGGTATTCATGCCTATTAAAAGTGCCTTATTGATTCATAAGAATGAAAGCAATGAAAAATTATACAAGGCAGGCTGGGCATGGTGGCTCACACCTGTAATCCCAGCACTTTGGGAGACTGAGGCAGGCGGATCACTTGAGGTCAGGAGTTCAAGACCAGTCTGGCACATATGATGAAATCTCGTCTCCACCAAAAATACAAAAATTAGCCGGGCCTGGTGGCATGCACCTGTGGTCCCAGCTACTTGGGAGGCTGAGGTATGAGAGTCACTTGAACCCAGCAGGTGGAGGTTGCAGTGAGCTGAAATTGTGCCACTGCCCTCCAGCCTAAGCAATAGAGTGAGACTCTGTCTCAAAAAAAAAAAAAAAAGAAATTATTCAAGGCAGAATAAGGTAAATGCCACAGGAAGAAAAGCAAGGTGTTTTGGTACTTCCAAGAGCTGAGAGATAGCTTGAGGTCTTTATCAGGAATATAGTGTATAATCTGGTTTTAAAATCAGAAAATGTTGACTTCTGAATCTGTAGAACTGAAGATAATACTATGACATGATACTGCAATTCTACCTCATGCTTCAAAAGTTGCCCTGTGTACCAAAAAACTGTCAAGACTGCTCATGATGGACACTAAAACTATAAAAGTGTTTTGAAAGGAATATTGCAAAAAATAAGAGTAATCTTGGATTTCTTTTAACTTGTGTTTGTTTCAAATTACAGAATTGTACTCACTATTGCAAAAGTCCTGAAAAATTACTTGAGAATGCCTATTAGTGATGGTTATGGAATATGCAGTCTTTCCCGGATATCTTTTTAGTTACTTTTTTAACTACCAAAATATATTCTAATATGTCACTACTTCTCCAATTTCAGGGATACCCATTCACTTAAAGGCCTCAGCATCTACCATCTGAATTAGCTCAAAGTCTCCTTTCTGATTTTCTTTCCTGTAATCTCTTATCTCATGCAATTCATTATGCATATTATGAAATCAGTCATTCTGAAACACTATTGTGAAATGTTTTCAATGTCAAGTGTTATCAGTTTTGCTATGAATAATTTTATAGTATCCATTTATTTTTTTCCTTTTCAAAGTTTATCAAAGTACTACATGTAAATAATTTAAGAATAAAAAAAAATCACAAAGCTTACAGCTGTCTCTTAAATCATCTCTTCACATTCTTACTGCTTCCCAGAGGACATCTCTTTCAACTATTTTGGTTAGCTGTTTTCTCCTGGTATTATTTGAATTAATATGTTTATACCACTACTTCTAGATTTCTCAGTATTGGACATTGCCTATTGATTTCTACTCTAAAGGATTGGATGTTGCCTATTGCTTTTCTACTCTAAAGGATGAAGATTTTGCTCAGCTCTACAGTCTGCCTCTTCCTGCAATAAATGTTGTAGAGACTGGGGATATACCCGTGAACAGAACAAAGTCCCCAGTACTTATGAACTTACATTGCGGTTTGAGAAGGTAAAATAACTAAATAACATAAATAACTAAATAACTGAATTATATAATTCCAGAAAGTGAACCATAATATGAAAAAAAGGAAAGAAAAAAAGACAATGGGAAAGGACACAAGTCTCTTTCCTCCCTCTACCCAATATAGTTGTAATAAAACGTTTGATGTTTTCACCGATATGACTAGATAACTACTTGACACTGAAGCATATATCGTACTATAATTACCATTCATTTATTGTACAACTATTTCTTTTCTCTGAGACTGTAATTTTATTTGCATTTGATTTGTTTTCCATGTACTGAGAACTAATTCATTCCTATCATTCTGCCAAAACTATAAAACTTCTCTTGATGTGGTCAAACACAACAGTTAATTCTGTTTTTTTTTTCTCCTTCTCCTTTTCTTCCTCTCTCATCATTCCTCCCAGATACCTCTGTCCTCCTGCTCCAGCCTTTTCCAGTAACTTTCCAGGCCTGCAGCATAGCTGTCATGTGCAAGCCCCCCTTCATTATCTTCCTAGGATTTCCCTCTGCCTCTCCCCTGGGTGCATCACCTTTACCAGCTCCCACATCTTCCTCTTTCTTGATTTAGCCCTCCAGTGGCCTCTTGAAAAGGGGTGCACATGAAGTAAATTTATACAAACTTGAGTGACTGAAAATGTTTTTATTCTACTCTTATCCTTGATAGGTAGCCTGGGTATAGGATTCTAAGTTGGAAATAATTTTTTCTCAGAAATCAGAGACATTGCTTCATTGCCTTCTGGATTTCAGTATTGCTATTTGGAATTCTGATGTCATTCTTGTTCCCAGTCCTTGGAATGTGACCTAGTTTTTTTTTCACTGGAAGTCTTAGGGTTCTAAAATTTCAAAATAATTTAGCTTGCACAAGGCCTTTTTTTAATGGAGAGGCAGAAATGTGTGGTGATTACAAAAACAGATTCTAGAGCCAGAGTTCTAGGTTCATCACTTAAATAGCTCTATAATTTTGGATGGGTTACTCAATATCTCTGTGCTTCTGTTGGCTGCTAAAGGAGCCGACATCATAGGGTTTGGGGAAGGATAGCAGCAATATTTAAAAATGTCTAGAATAGTGCCTGGCACATAGCAAGCCCCCTGTAAACACTAGCTATTAATATTAGTTATTATTATTTATTATGTTGAGAATTTAGCAGACTTTCAATTTGGAAACTCAGATTTTCACAGCTCAGAAACCTACATGTGTTATTTCTTTAATAATTTTCTCCCCTTCATTTTTTTAATACTTTTTTTCTGGAATCATTATTAATTGAATTTCCTCAATGTTATGTTTCAATCTATCATATTTAAAATATCAATATCAGGCCAGGTGCGGTGGCTCACACCTGTAATCCCAGCAGTTTGGGAGGCTGACATGGGTGGATCACCTGAGGTCAGGTGTTCGAGACCAGCCTGGTCAACATAGCAAAACCACGGTCTCTACTAAAAATATAAAAATTAGCCAGGCATGGTGGTGGTAATCCCAGCTACTTGGGAAGCTGAGGCAGAAGAGTCACTTGAACCCGGGAGGTGGAAGTTGCACTGAGCCGGATCACACCACTGCACTCCAGCCTGGGAGACAGAGTAAGACTCTGTCTCAATAAATAAATAAATAGAATCAATATCAATATTTTTATTTTTTATGCGTGTATTTATAATACGTGTATATATATGCATATATACACACACTTATATATATATATTTATGTATTTATACACAAGTATAGATACAAACATTTTAAACTGGATGCATGTTTTTCTCTTTTCTTTCTGAGGATATTTATTATAGGTTTGTAAGTTTTGAAGTTTTCCTGTGTTTTTCCCTCTATTTTATTTTATTTTAATTTTTTGAGATGGAGTCTCACTCTGTCACCCAGGCTAGAATGCATTGGCGTGACCTCGGCTCACTGCAACCTCTGCCTCCCGGGTTCAAGCAGATCTTCTGCCTCACCCTCCCGAGTAGCTGGGATTACAGGTGCCTGCCAGCACGCCCAGCTAATTTTTGTATTTTTAGTAGAGATGGAGGTGTGGCGGGGTAGGTGGGAGGTGAGATAGGGAGAGGGGTTTCATCATGTTGGCCAGGCTGGCCTGGAACTCCTGACCTCAAGTGATCCACTCACCTTGGCCTCCAAAAGTGCTGGGATTACAGGCTTGAGCCACTGTGCCCGGACTTTCCCCCTATCTATTATGTTAGAGGCTTTTCTCTAGTGATTCTTACTGGTGATTCTTGGCAGTTTATTCATATATAAAAAGGAGGCTTTTAAGCTATGGGACTTCTCAACTGGTGAGACTTGCTTTAGGAAAGTTGAGTTGGGTTAAGGATTCCCTGAAGAGGCAGCTGGGCTTCCCTAAATATCAATTTCTGTGTATCTTTGATTTTGAGCTTGTCAGTTATTTCCAGTTTACTTCTTGCCTAGGGGTATTAAGTTTTGCTACCAGTGTTTTGTGAGCAGAATTAGGATAGAGGGTAACTGTTTTTCATGCAGACTCTCACCCAATCCCCTTGTGTTCAACATGGTGTCCCCTAGTCCCAGCTCTCCACTCTGTCTAGGGTGAATCCAGGTTTTGTGGGCCTAAAGCTTATAGTCTTTGGGGGGCCCTCTTCCAGACCAAAAAAAAATAAATAAACTATGAATGCAAAATTAAATACAGGAACTTGGAAGGGACCAGTGCAAGTGGAGGGCCTATGCTTCATTCGCTTCATGGTAAAACTGACTCTTCATCCTGATTCCTACCAGGGTCCCAGAGGAGTGGTATCTGACTTTGTTGGCTGAAGAGGAGATCTGGGAGTTCTATACTGCTGCTTACAGTCTTCTCATCAATTCTCTTCTTTTTAGTGCTATCCCATACCCTGGTTCTTCACGAGGAACCAGTGTCTTCAAGTCCCAAAGCTTTATGGCCCTTAAAGTTTAATGGGAGTGCTTCTGTTGGGGCATCTGACACTGCAGGCAGTTAGGCTTCAGTGATCTCTGCTGAGCTGTCTTTTATCACTCATTAATTATTTCCCACCATCTAAAATGTGTGGCTATCTCTTAGCTGCTGTTATTCCCCACCCTGTTCTCTTTGTTCTCACAGTGGTTTTATTCCTTTGCTGCCATTTAAGTGGGGGTTTTAGGAGAGCACAGAACTAAACAAACAGGTTCAGTTTGCCATGTTTAATCAGAAGTCTCATTCTATCTTTGAATATTTTTATGTTTGTCATTAAATCCAATATTTTATTGCCACTTAGATGAATTTATTATACAACTCAGCATTTGTTGTACTACATATTTAAGAAATATATACTGTACTTCAATATTCTCATAAACTGTTGTTTTTTGTTCTTTTGTTTTTAATATCAATAGCTTAAGGGGTACATGTGGTTTTAATTATATGGATGAATTGTATAGTGGTGAAGTCTGGGCTCTTAGTGTAGTCATCACCTGAGTAGTGTACATTGTACCCAGTAGGTAATTTTTCATCCCAGACTCCTTTCCCACCCTCCTTTCTTCTGAGTCTCCAATGTCCATTGTGGCACTCTGTATGCCTTTGTGTACCCATAGGTTAGCTCCCACTTACAAGTGCAAACATTCTGTTTTTCGTTTTACATTCCTAAGTTACTTCACTTAGGATAATCGCCTCCAGTTCTTCCAAGTTGCTGCAAAAGACTTTATTTCACTCTTTTTTATGGCTGAGTAGTATTCTATGGGGTGTGTGTGTGTGTGTGTCAATGGGCACTTAGGTTGATTTTTTAATCTTTGCAATTGTGAATTGTGTTGCAAGAAACATATGAGTTGCAAGCGTCTTTTTGATATAATGACTTCTTTTCCTTTAAGTAGACACCCAATAGTGAGATTGCTGGATTGAATGGTAGGTCTGCTTTTAGTTCTTTGAGAAATCTCTCTACTGTTTTCCATAGTGGTTGTACTAATTTACATCCCCACCAATAGTAGAAAAGCATTCCCTTTTCACTGCACCCACATTGATATCTATTGTTTTTTGTCTTCTTAGTAATGGCCATTCTGACTGGGGTAAAGTAGTATCTCATTGTGGCTTTAATTTGCATTTTCCTGATGACTAGTGTTGTTGAGCATTTGTTCATGTTTCTTGGCCATTTCTATATCTTCTTTCGAGAAATGTCTACACATGTCATTTATCCACTTTTTAAAGGATTTTTTTTCTTGTTAATTTGTTTCAGTTCCTTATAGATTCTAGAATTAGTTCTTTGTCAGATATATATAGTTTCTCAATATTTTCTCTCTGTAGGTTGTCTATATACTCTGTTGATAATATGGTGTTTCTTTTTAGGCAATAAACCAACACTTACTAGATCAACAATCTAGTGTGTTCTCATATTAATCATATTTTAGAAAGAAGAATATTCAAGAAAATGTCTATATTTTTTAAAAACAAAATTACAAAATAATGCATGTTAGTAAAGGAGCTTGTAAAAAAAATTCCCTATGTTTTGTGGAAAAAAATTTTGCCTAGTTTATTCTTCTAGATAATGTTTGATAATGTTTGTTAAATATATAAATGTGCCAAGAAATAGTCCTATTTCATCCACTATGCTTCTTGGAACCGCAGATTTGCAAGAAAACTTCAATAAGTACAGTGTAAAAAAGAGATATGTAGTCAAGTAAGTTTTCTAAACTCTGAGTTCAATGAAATCAAACAGTTTTTTTTACATCAAGACTTCTTAGAGCCTTAACTACAATATTCACAGTGAGTCTTTAAAGAGGGAATAATTATTAGTATTTTCCAAATTTATTGTACTACCAGTCCTATTTAAGCAGCACACTATTAACTCCTTACAAAACAAATTACATCAAGATATAGTTTGAAAATTTTTTTAATCAACAGCATGTTTTCTAATTCTGTTGAAAGACCTAATTTTCATCCTATGAAAGACCTAATTTTAATCCTGAAGGGTAATTGTAGTTCTTCCATTATCAATTCCATTCTAGATCCTGATCTCTTATGCTTACTCTCACTTGAAACCCTTAGGAATATCAGTTTGACCATCTTCCTTGAGGATGTAAATAATACAGGAGGAAATGAAAAGCTCATGTCAGAGAAATTTTAATATTAGAGTTATTGGGGAGAAGCAGGGATGAATAAAGGATAACAGTGGGATGGTGAGGCAAAAGCTAGGTCACCCCAAATAGTCCTGAGCTGAAGAGCTTGCTTATACCTTAGGATCAGGGTTAATTTTAAGGCAGAATCAGATAGATAAAGAGGTAACACCAAAGATAGTCATTAAGTCTCTCTCCTCCCTCTGTTCTCTCTCTAATCTTTAGTGTTTGCCAAACTTTCTCTCTGCACATATTAAACATTCAGATTTTGTGGCCAAGGCCTCAGACTGATGGAAGCAGAGTATGCGGAAAAGATGATTCTTAGGACTGGCAGGGTTAGAAAATACTGCCCACTAAGACACCACTGTGTGTGTGACTTGCCTTGCTATTTCTGATCCTGGCCCTCACATCCATAATTATTCTGCTGGAGAATTTGAACTCAACTTCTGTCATATGTGTTTGCTTAGCTTTGGATTCTGGTCACACAGTTTCTGAGCCCATTATCTCATCTTGGTTCTGGTTTTTCTCTCTCTACTTAATATTTCAGATTGGCATTAAACCGAGTGAATTCCCTTTCTGATTAATCTTGCCAGAGCAGCCCAGAAAAAAATGATCTCAATACCTTCTCCTAATATTTGAGGGAATTGGATGTTAAATAGATTCACAGTAACTGAAGAATAGTTGTGGAAGGGAATTTTTAAAAATAGTTAACACAGAATTCAAAAAGTACAAAAAAAGCAATAACTAAGAAGTATAATTCTTCTCTCCTGTTTCTGCCAGCTACAAAGTTCTCCTGCATGAAGGCCACTGGCATTTTATGAATTGTTCTGGAGATACTCTAATGAGTTTACAAACATTTGTGTAATATTTGTGTGTATATTTCTTTTACACAAACGTATCATGCCATCTACTCTGCTCTGCATGTTGTTGTTGTTTTACATAATTTATCTTAGAGATTGTTATAGATTGAATTGTATCCCCCCAAAAAGTATCTTGGAGTCCTAACCTCTAATACCTCAGAAAGTGACCTTATTGGAAATAAGTTTGTTGCAAATGTAATTAGTTAAGATGAGGTCATACTGGAGTAGGACGGGCCTTCAGTCCAATGTGACTAGTGTCCTTATAAGAAGAGACAGAGACATAGAGGAGGAATGCCATGTAACAACAGAGGTGGAGATTGGAGTCATGCAACTGCAGGCCAAGGAACCCCAAGGCTTGCTGGCAAATTACCAGAAGCTAGGAAGAGGCAAGGAAGGATTCTCACCTACAGGTTTCAGAGGGAGCATGGCACTACCAACACCGTGATTTGGGACTTCTGTTACAGTAGGTAGCTAGTCAGGCATGAGAAGGGCAGGAAAGGGCCCCCCACCACCATGAATGTCAGACAACCATCAGGTGATGATCAGGCAGTTGTTAACTGTCTCTCTAAAATAATAATTGGTTACAGCCAGTGCCAGGGAAAGGCAGTCTCCTTATGCATAGAAAAAACCTGAAACTGGTGATCAGCAGCTTCCTGGTATGTATCAGGAGTCGGGCAAGTAGGTTCAAGCATGCACATTAAGAGGCAAAATGGCGAAGTTTAACTGGTATATGACCTTCCAGGGACATGCCACCAGTAAGGGAAGAATGCCTCAAATGAGCATGTTCACCTCCCGACTGCTAGCAGACCACTGTGCATGAGGACAGCCCATCCCAAAGGAGGAATCAGGGAAGAAGGGACACAAAACTCCAGAAGCATGCCAATTTATAAAACCCCAAGTCAAAAGGTCAAAACACACACTTGTCTTTCAAGTCGCCCACTTGGCCCTCTTCCAAGTGTACTCTCTCTTTTGTTCCTGCTCTAAAGCTCTTTAATAAACTTTCACTCCTGCTCTAAAATGTGTCTTGGTCTCTCCTTCTGCCTTATGCCCCTCAGTCGAATTCTTTCTTCTGAGGAGGCAAAAATTGAGGTTGCAGCAGACCCATATGGATTCGCCACCAGTATCACTTCTAGCCTTCAGAACTGTAATACAATAAACTTCTATTATCTTAACCCACACAGTTTGTGGGATTTTGTTTCAGCAGCCTTAGGAAGTGAATACAGAGATCTTTCCATATTAATAGAGAAGTGTTTCATTCTATTTGACAGCTGCACAGTACTCTATTGTATGGTTGGGCCATAACTTATCTACTGGATAAAATAAGTTATGGACATTTATGTGATTTTTAAACTTTTGTCATTAAAAACAATGCAGAAAGTGAGCAAATTTGTACATGTGTCAATTCACATGAGTGAGACTATCTTGAGCTAAATACCTAGGGGTAGTGAATAATCAAATTGAAATAAGATGCTTTGCATGTGAACAAGTGAAGAATTATTGAGACTTGAGTAACCCTAAGTTTCCACAGAGGGTATAGTAAAATTGTGTGCCAGCCAATAATTATGCTAAGTAGGATGACTTTGTCTTGTCTCCTCTCCCATCCCTCCCCAAAATTGTTTGCCGGCTATGTAACCTTTTAGATAAGCCTCTGTTCTCTCCGGATCTCTGCTGCAGTTGAATTTCTAATGTTCTATTACCTAACATCTTAGGGTGGTTATAAGGATCAAATTTTTAAAAAGTTTGTGAAAGCAATTTCCCTACATAAAGACAGGGATTTGCTATTGTCTTTGGTGTAAAGCAATGTTTGATAACTTTATTATGCCTTTCATCCACATCCTATCCACAAACACTTGTTCTGGGTTATAGACCTGCTTCTCATATTTATGTTTACTATGTTTCACTACATAGTAATTTATTAGTCTTCTCCTTTATATTTGCCCACAACAGTATAGTATCTTTCCTACAAATGATACAACCTAATAAATATTTATTCAGTGTTGTTTTAGACTAAATGTTTCATCAGTGAAATTTTTTTATTTCCTAAAATGGCCTGAGCATTTACTTTAGAGTACAGTTTCCATGAACCACTTTTTCCCTCTTTCTTCTCTTTTCAGATTAGAATAACTGTTGGGAATACATTTTTAACCAATGGATTGAAAAAAATCAGTACAAGATCTATTTAATTGTCACAGCAAGTCCATGATGAGGGCTGCACAAAAGAAGGAGGTAATTTGTTTTCTTGGGTCATGAAGACTTTTCTTTTCTAGGCAGGGTTTAGAATTGGGACCCTGGTCACATGATTATTATTCTTAGTATCCTCAGCCCTCTAGCCTGCCAAGAATTGTCAGAGTTAAGAATATGCTGTTGTTTATATGATAAAATTGGTGAAGTGCTAGGAAGAGTTCTAAGTCTTCATACATCTCTCCTAGATCATTCCTAGGTACTTAAAATTCCTACCTTCAGAGTCAGTGCTTTTGTGAATTCTCTCCCACAAATGTAAATAGCCTGAAGGGATTTCATAATCAACCATTTTCAGTCATCAGCAACTCTGTGTGAATTGGCCCATTAGATTCTTTTCCTGCTGACAACGGATGGCCAGGAAGAAAGTGTGAATTCAACAGAGAAGTTTCACAGAAATGAGCTGTGCTCAGCCTTTGCCATAAGAGGGCAAAGTAAGTCCAGTGACATGCATTTCACTCAGTCTTCTTCTCTTTCTACTGACTGAGCCCGGAGCCTTTGAGGGAGGAAGTCCAGGGATTGGAGGGGTATAGAGATTGAGCTAAAAGGACCTTCTTCATTGGCCTGCAGGCTCAACTCTTAGGCAAAATCGTGAAGAAGTAGCTGTTACATTTTTCTAAACTTTCAGTTTGACAAGCATAAGGATTAATTTGGCAAAGCTCAAAATGATATCTGGCAGTCAAAATGGTTCATCACACCTCTTTAAAACATAATGTTGGGAGTGGCTGTTTTCTGAACCAAGTTACTTACTGAAAGTATTCTGTACTTTCCAGCCATTTTCCCTTTTTCTCATTTCTGTGGCCATTGTGGGGCTGCTGATCTCCATGTACTCTGGTAGGGGCTACTTTTTTTTAAAAGGAATCTTTCTTTTTTTTTTTTTATTGAGATAAAATATACATACACAATTTACTATTTTTACTTTTCTTTCTTTCTTTTTTTTTTTTTTTTAGACAGAGTTTCGCTCTTGTCGCCCTGGCTGGAGTGTGCAGTGGCGGGATCTCGGCTCACTGCAACCTCCGCCTCCCAGGTTCAAGTGATTCTCCTACCTCAGCTTCCCAAGTAGCTGGGATTGCAGGCACACACCACCACATGCAACTAATTTTTGTGTTTTTGGTAGAGATGGGGTTTCACCACGTTGGCCAGGATGGTCTCAATCTCTTGAAGTCGTGATCCGCCCACCTCGGCCTCCCAAAGTGCTGGGATTACAGGCGTGAGCCACCGCACCCGGCTTATCTTTACCATTTTTAAGTCTATAGTTCAGTGGTAATAAATACGTTTATATTCTTTTTCCCCCTTCTCCCTTCTTCTTCTCTATCCCCTCCCCTTTCCAGTCTCTGGTAACTGCCAGTCTACTTCCTATCTTCAGGAAATCCACTTTTTAAGCTTCCGCCTGTGAGTGAGAATGTGCTATATTTGTCTTTCTGTGCTTGGCTTATTTCACTTAACATAATGGCCTCCAGTTCTATTCATGTTGCTACAAATGACAAAATTTCATTCTTTCTTATGGCTGAATAATATTCCATGGTGTATACATACCACATTTTCTTTATCCATTCATCGTTGATGGGCACTTAAGTTGATTCCATATTTTGGCCATTGTGAATAGTGCTGCAATAAACATGAGGATGCAGATCTCCTTTGATATATTGATTTCCTTTCTTTTGGATATATACGCAGTAGTGACATTGCTGGATCATATGGTAATTCTATTTTTATTTTTTTGAGGAACCTCCATACTGTTCTCTATAAGTGGCTGTCCTAATTTGCATTCCAATCAGCAGTGGATTAGGATTCCCCTTTCTCCACATCCTCAGCAGCATCTATTATTACCTGTCTTTTTGATATAAGCTATTTTAATTGCAGGAAAAGGATATTTAACTTTGCTGAATATTTTAAGGCCAACAGGAATCAGTGTTTTCCATTGTACCCTACTGGTAGCTTGAGATTTGTCTGAAAGATTGACTGCCTGCCTTGTTCTCTCTCTCTCCCCACAAACCCCTCACCCCTCCACTGCCACACACACACATGCCTTTCTGATTCTCACATGACTAGAAAAACTGTTAGAAAGAGCTGATATCCCATCTAGGTAAACCTGCCTGGACTCTTGGCTACATTTTTCAAGAATTAGCTTTCATTTCACAAGCAATAAAAAATTATAAATTGAAAGCACCTCATGGAAGAAGCATTCACTTTTCTTGAGAACAGCCAACAAAGTGTAGGTGTTTTCATAAATTAGATTCACTCAAAGATGTTTCAATCCAAATATTACTCTGTTATTGATTTATTGAACTTGTCATATTATCTCGTTGTGAAATTTTTCCTTTACGAAAAAATTTTCTCTAAATAAAGAAGCCTCCTTTTTCAATAACAGTATTATTTTTATTAAGTTACTGACTCCTTCTTCTCTGCCTAAAAAACATGTTCAAGCCTCTCTCTACCACATATATATCTTTCCTTGGACACTGTTTTCTACTCAAGTGAATGCTTTATGTCTTTGCTTCCTTTCCTCATAGACTCCACGTCCTAACCTATCATTTTCTCATCAATCAACTATAATAATACCATTATATGTAATAGGCCATATTTGTTGAGTGAATAATGTGTACCAGGCACTGTGCAGCTTACATTTTTTCCAGGAATCAAATAAAGTAGGTATCATTAGTAGCTTTGTTTATACAGATGAAAACGCTGAGGCTTAAACAGTATGAGTAGTTTGCTCAGCAAGTCAGTGAGTAGGTGGCAACCACAGAAACTCCAGTTTTGTCCTATAGGTGACATCTAAGTCATTGCCATTATCCACAATGTATCTACCAACTTACTGTAACTCAATCACTGAATCTTGAAATACAAGGATCTATCTCTACTCTTCATCATATTCAATCTCCCAGCTTCAGTCACAATTGGGCATCTGGGACCTTCTTCCAGCTTTTATTTCCACAATATTATACTCTTTTGGTGTCTCTACATTTCTAACTATTCTTTCTGGCTTTGTTGAGTTAGCCTCTTAAATTGTCTCTTAAATGTTGGTATGATCTAAATTTCTTTTGCCCTCTGAATGTCTTCTCTGAGTGATTTCAGTGACTCCTATGGCCTCTACAATGATCTCAACTCTAATTCCAGGATCCCTTTCTCCTGAGCTCCAGATTTATCTCTACTTTTATAGGTACCACAACCTAGAAATATCCAAATCAACCTCATTATCTTTCATTCGAAGTCTATTTCTCTGCATTTCCTCCCTCATTCTACAATATATTTTATATAAACATACAAGCTAATAGATGGAGTAAGAGACGTTTTTTATGTCCCTTTTCCTTTCATTTCCACATTTAATCAGTCATCATGTCTTACGTTTTCTTTTCTTTTTTTTTTTTTTGAGACAGAGTTTCGCTTTTGTAGCCCAGGCTGGAGTGCAGTAGTGTGATCTTGGCTCACTGCAACCTCTGCCTCCCAGGTTCAAGCAATTCTCCTGCCTCAGCTTCAGAAGTAGCTGGGACTACAGGCATGTGCCACCACATATGGCTAGTTTTGTATTTTTAGTAGAAACGGGGTTTTGTCATGTTGGCCAGGCTGGTCTCGAACTCCTGACCTCAGGTGATACACCCACCTTGGCCTCCCAAAGTGCTGGGATTAAGTTGTGAGCCACCGTGCCCACCTGTGTTTTCTAATTTATAAATTTATCCATGCATCTTCATTATCACTTCTGCTGCTTTAGCTCAGACTCTCATCTTACCTCTTCCCTTCTGGGATCTAGTATTATGTACTGCATTTTATTGTACTCCCTATAACACCTAACACAATTTTGTATACAGAAACAGACCATCAGACATTTGTCAATTCAATAGATGAATATCTATATAACAGTTATGTTTTGTGAAGATCCTCTATCTTCTAATACTTACATGGTGTTTGCTATTTATGAGACATTATTCTAAATGCTTTAGCTATATTACCTAATTTAATCGTCACAATCTTCCAAAGTAGATGAAGTTATTATTCAGATTTTATAAATGGGGAGACAGTCATACAGAAGTGACCTTACTTGCCCAAATTTATGCTGCTAATAAATGGCAGTGCCAGCAGTGCTAGAATTAGACTGCAGGCAGTTTGACTTTAAATCCATGCTCTTAACCACTGCACTTCCTTGTGTTTCCTTTTGATCTACTTCTATGTATTACACTCAAGTTCTAATTAGTTTTTCCATTATAGCTATAAAAATATAGTAGATAACTAAATTCACAAACTTATAGATGTGAATCTGGAACTAAGTTCATTTCTCTGCCTCATCCAACCCCTCATCTAATTCTAGAGCACTTCAGAATCAAAATTAACTTAGAGTTTGAGGAGAAACTGAAGAGTTAATTGTCTACTGATCCAGTGGTATGTGAGATGCAACCAGCATGGCTCCTATAGCTTGAAGCCAAATAGGCTTCTGGAGTAGGATCTGGACCACTTGGAGAATATTAGCCCTGTCATTTTGGACCATGAGCAGTATTGAGTTGAAAAGATAAGGCTGTAAGGCAGGACAAAACATAATTTGGAGCTGCCATATAGGACAAGGCGAGTAGATGGTCAAAGAGACGTCCACATGGAGGAATTAAAGTCAGCAAACATAAAGGGGTCAAGCATGCAGAGACACTGAGAGTCAATGTGGGTCATGAGAGCAGACAAGCAGAGAATGTGTGCCAAAGACAAATGTGCCCTCCAAATCATGATAAACACAATGTCAGATGTCTTACACTCTGTGGTAGAGTGGAGGTTTTTAAAATGGGTGTCAGAAAACCTGCATTATAACTTAGTTCTACCATCAATCAGAAGTGTGATCTTGGACAAGCTATTTAAACTATCTGGAGCTCACTTTTCTCATCTTTAAAATTAGGGATTTCAATGTGGTGACCTCTGATAGAGAGTTACAAAGCCTATTATTCTTCACACAATGGTCCTAAAGATTTTTAATCATAGACTTATTAGTGGAGAAACCTTTGCAAGTACCTCCATTTGGTAAGGCTCTGCATGGCAAATTTATAAATTATTCACAAATGTATAAATTAGTAGATGTACCACTTTACTAATATATTACATCATGAAACGCAGAAATATAAAAAGAATGAAATAAAGATGAAGCAAATACTATAGTTTAAGTTTTTGTCAATTGTGATGGTATCATATTATCATTAACTAGCATCTCAAGGCACAAACTCAAGGTAGGTTAAGGTTTATCATTATAAATGTAAATGCCTATTTCAAATAGTCCTTGACAATTTTTATTTTCTTGCCCATTTCTTGTCATATCTGATTAGATAGTCATTATTTTTGTATTGTAATTTGGCTGACAAGGAGCTCTTACTTGGATTCAGAGAAGTGTCAGCGATGTCATTTTCTTGTTCACTCACTCTTACATTATCAACATAATCTTCAATATAAAGTTTCTTTGCTCAAATCTTTTTGAAATATGTATACATTATGTGAGTTTAGTTAACCACATAACATAGTACACAAATACACTTAACCTGACTTCCTGGGTTTCCTCAATAGTAGACCCTGAATCAAGGTCTTGGGTGTAGGTAATTTTCCTTTTCTTTTTCTTTTCTTTTATTTTCTTTTCTTATTAAAACTTTTATTTTAGGATTGGGGGTACATTTGAAGGTTTGTTATGTAGGTAAACTCAGGTCATGGGTGTTTGTTGTACAGATTATTTCATCATCCAGGTGAATGTTTATTACAGCACTAGTCACAATAACAAAGACATGCCCATCATTGGTAGATTGGATAAAGAAAGTGGGGTACATATACAGGTCATTTTATTAGGAAGTGAGATAAAGTGTATGTTAATGAGCATGTTGCTTTTGTGGGCCTAATCCCAACAGCAACCCTCTGAGAAGCTGTGTGGAGCATCCCTCAAGTCATCCTTTCTTGGATGATGGGGAGGCTGGGGCATTTATCCACTTACCTTCCTTCCCCATTGGTTGATGGGTGTCCCTGGTGGCATGAACCCCTCTCACTTCAGGGTTGCATTTGTTTTTGACAGAGCAAACCCCATGGTGTTGGAGAATCAGGAGAAGAAGAGAGAGGCTGGTCTAGAGGTGCAGAGCTTTCAGCAAACTGCTTACCACACCTAAAGTGAATTCAGGTGGGCCCCGCAGGTATGGGGTGTGGTGTTGACAGGGTCTGCTACACTTGGCAAGGGTTAAGATTAGAATTAGAGTCAGGATTAGTAAACTCTGATAGGTTGAAGTAAACAAAGAAAAAAGAGCATCAGCATCAACCTCTCCCACTCTTTCCTCAGGATATATTGAGAACCACATTTTGGCAAAGTGTGTATAAACTATTAATAAAGTATCATTTATTTCATAGTTTTTGATAAAATATGTAAATTGAAACTCTAATATTTTCTTTCCACACCTGGAAGGTCATTTTGAATATCTCTTGGGAGCCTGCATCTCTTCCTTATGATCAGTTTCCTAGCACAGCGACTCAAGGGCCTGATGCGTCAGGCTGCTGAGATATCTATCTGTTCCGACAAAGGCTGCCTCAGTGCCATGAAAACACATCACGTGCTGCAAGTCCTGGCAACATTTATGTCTCCAATGCAAAATTGTGGATTTCTGCCAAGAATTTACCTGCCTATTCTCCAAGGACAAGTATCAGAATATCCTGAAAGCCTCTGGAGGGTGCTAAAACATGAAGCAGCTCACTTACAGGAAGTACTTCAGTGAGCTGCTGATTAAGAAAATAAAAGAGAGGGAGAAAGAAAGGCCATGACATGTGTCTGCAAGTTGATCTATAGAGCAAGATCAATTATTGCATCATAGATGTTTGTAATTGTGGTGAAGCCAAAATTTTCTCTAAACACATTTTTGGCATCATCCACAATCCTATATTTTAATTTAGGTAAATGAATTTCAGTAATTTGATATTGAAAGGACATTGATTAGGTAACTCCTATATGCTAAGCCACTGTAAAAAGTGGTATGGCTTATTTCAAAATAAGTAAAACTTGGTCTCTTACTTACAATCTAGCAGGAGAAATGCATGCTGCATATAAGTAACTGTAAAACAAGGTAGTCAGAACTAAGATCTGTAAGAAAAATACCATAGACTGTGAAAATTCTAAGAAATTATTTCTGCAACAAGTAATTTATTATTTCATATGGTACTAGATAAACTTAACCCAAATTCCATGGCCTAGCAATTTCCTTAAACCTAGTCTATTTGGGAGTCTACCAAGCTGACATTTAGTAATAAGCAGATTTGGGTTTAGAAAAGACAAAGAGATCTGAGATAGGCCTTTACCTCAGTGTCAACTATACTGGGCCCTAAAAAGGTCTTTGAGAGACAAAACCAAGTACTTCTTTAATGTCCTGTGGCCTAGTTTTAAGCCATAAATTTTTTCTTTTTTTTTTTGAGATGGAGTCTTGCACTGTCACCCAGGCTGGAGTGCAGTGGCATGATCTCAGCTCACTGCAACCTCCACCTCCTGAGTTCAAGCAATTCTCCTGTCTCAGCCTCCCCGGAAGCTGGGACTATAGGTGCGCACCACCATGCCCGGCTAATTTTGATATTTTTAGTAGAGACAAGATTTCTCCGTGTTGGCTGGGCTGGTCTCGAACTCCTGACCTCAGGTGATCCACCTTCCTTGGCCTACCAAAGTTCTGGGATTACAGGCATGAGCCACTGTGCCTGGCCTTAAGCCATAAACTTTTTAAAATACAAAAGCAAACACTGAAACAAAAATTATGCAATATTTGTAATGACAATGTATCGCAGTTTTCTTGAGCATGCAAATATTTTCTCAATAAAGACTTAATCATAAAATAGAACCTATGTGTTGCATCTTTTGTTTCTTTGTTTCTTTTCTTTCTTTCTTTTTTTTTTTTTGACAGAGTCTTGCTCTGTTGTTGCCCAGGCTGGAGTGCAATGGGGCAATCTTGGCTCACTGCAAACTCTGCCTCCCAGGTTCAAGCGATTCTCATGCCTCAGCCTCCTGAGTAGCTGGGATTACAGGTGTGTACAACCACGCCCAGCTAAGTTTTGTATTTTTAGTGGAGATGGGGTTTTGCCATGTTGGCCAGGCTGGTCTTGAACTCCTGACCTCAGGTGATTCACCTGCCTCGGCCTCCCAAAGTGCTGGGATTACAGGCATGAACCACCGCCCCCAGCCTGCATCTTTTGTTTCTTAACCAAAAATCAATTTATAATGAGATTACACAAATGGAAGAATTTACAACAGAAATTATTATAGAAAATCAAGCTCAGCAAAGCTATTGAGAATTATACTCAATAATGCTTCATGTTCAAATAACATGGCGTTCTGTACTTTTAATATTAGGTGCAACCCATAATCTAATAAGTACACCTTTTCATTTTGTCCAGAGACAAAAATATTTTATAGTGAATTATGATAAAATCTATTTGTCACATTGACCTACCACTTCATACATTTAGAACATATATTACACAACTCTTAAAAACATATTTCTGTTGCAACCTCCAACTTAGTATTTATATATTTTTCTTTGTGTGAACTTTGCTAAGCTTCCTTTTAATTTCAGAACTTCCCATAACAGCAAACTGCTGAATTATTAAGCTAAATTCCATTGCCTGATATCCCAATTTTGAATCTACATCACAAAAAGTATATTATTATTTTTTCTCTTTTCTTTTGCAGACAGTGTGTGTTGCAGCCCTAAAACTACATATTTTCCTGCTACTTCAAAATCTCCATAAAAGGGCTGTGAGTTTCCAATTTAGTCAACCAGGTGCACCAATGTGATAAGGTCAGTCCCTGCTGGAGGTTCTCCTTCCTACTTCCTTTCCTGACTGTGACCTAGTGACATTCAAACACACCAATGAAATTCCCTCACTCCTTTTCTTGTGTGTCCCACCCTGAACCTCAATAAATGTACTTGCTCACAGGTTCTCTCTCTCTCTCTGCTTCCCATCTGCTTGGGTGATCCTGATCCCTTCGTGCTCATTCCCATGTGATTCCCCTCTCAGCATGCAGTGATCCTGTCTCTCTGGGACCCATGAGCATCATAAACTGTTTTTTCCTGAGCCTCTCCTGTTTCTTCTCATGGCCACACCTGACTTACCATCTCATGAAAGAATGCAAAACAGTGATTATACTTTTTTTTTTCCTTTAGGAAGGAGAGTAACAGAAGGATCAGTTTCCATTGAAAGTGCTATGATACAATTTCCAAACTTTAAGTTCAAAAACTATTCTAAAATCCTTGTATTTGTCCATCCTCACATTGCTATAGAAAGCTAAATCATTAGAAACCACTCCCATGATCCAATCACCTCCCACCAGGCCCCACCTCCAATTTTCAGGATCACAATTCAATATGAGATTTGGATGGGGATGCAGAGCCAAACCATATCATTCCACTCCTGGCCCTGCCCAAATCTCATGCCCTTCTCACATACCAAAACACATTTATTTCTTCTCAACAGTCCCCCAAGTCAACTCATTCTGGCATTAACTTAAAAGTCCAAGTTCAAAGTCTCATCTGAGACAAGGCAAGTCCCTTCCACCTATAAGCCATAAAAAAAAAAAAAAAAGTTAGTTACTTCCAAGATACAATGGGCATACAGGCATTGGGTAAATGTTGCCATTCCAAAAAGGAGAAAATGGTCAAAACAAAGAGGTTATATGCTCCATGCAAGTCCTAAACCCAGCAGGGCAGTCATTAAATCTTAAAGCTCCAAATTAATCTCCTTTTACTCTATGTCTCACATCCAGGCCACACTGACACAAGGGGTGGACTCCCAAGCTCTTGGACATCTCTGGCCCTGTGGCTCTGCAGGGTATAGTCCCCACAGCTGCTTTTACAGGGTGGCATTGAGTGCCTGTGGTTTTTCCAGGTGCACATTCCAAGCTGTCCATGGATTTACCATCTGGGGTCTGGAGGATGGTGGCCCTCTTCTTACAGCTCCACTAGGCAATACCCCAGTGGGGACTCTGTGTGGGGGCTCCAAACCCACACTTCCCCTCCACACTGTCCTAGTAGAAGTTCTCCACAAGGGCTCCACCCCTGCAGCAAACTTCTGCCTAGACATCCAGGCATTTCCATACATCCTGTGAAATCTAAGCAGAGGCTCCCAAGCCTCAACTCTTGCCCTCTGTACACCCACAGGCCCAATACC
This sequence comes from Homo sapiens, assembly GCF_000001405.40. NCBI lineage: Eukaryota > Metazoa > Chordata > Mammalia > Primates > Hominidae > Homo > Homo sapiens. The sequence goes on from NW_013171802.1 coordinate 211,203, forward strand.
ATGTGGAAGCCACCAAGGCTTGGGGCTTACACCCTCTGAAGCAATGGCCCAAGCTGTACCTTGGCTCGTTTTAGCCACAGCTGGTGCTGGAGCAGCTGTGATGCAGGGCTCCATGTCCCAAGGCTGTACAGAGCAGCGGAGCCCTGGACCTGGCCCATGAAACCATTTCTCCCTTCTAGGCCTCCAGGCCTGTGATGGGAGGGGCTGCCACAAAGGTCTCCAACATGCTTGGGGGGCAGTTCTTCTATTTTCTTCATTATTAACATTGGCTCCTTTTTATTTATGCAATTTTCTTCAGCTAACATGAATTCTTTCCCTGAAAATGGGTTTTTCTTTTCTACCACATGACCAGGCTGCAAATTTTCCAAACTTTTACACTCTGCTTCCCTTTTAAATACAAGTTACAGTTTGAGATTATTTCTTTGTTTATGCCAATGAGTGTAGGATTTTAGAAGCTGCCAGGCACACCTTGAACGCTTTGCTGCTTAGAAATTTCTTCTGCCAGATACCCTAAATCACCAGCCTCATGTTCAAAGTTCCATAGATCTCTAGAACAGGGGCACAATGCTGCCAATCTCTTTGCGAAAGCATAGCAAGAGTGACATTTACTCCAGTTCCCAATAAGTTCCTCATCTCCATCTGAGAGCTCATCATCCTGGACTTCACTATCTATATCACTATCAGTATTTGGTCAAAACCATCCAGCAAGTCTCTAGGAAGTTTCAAACTTTCCCTCTTCTTTTTGTCTTCTTCTGAGCCCAGATCTCATAAGAACTCTATCATGAGACAGCACTATAGTGATGGTGCTAAACCATCAGAAACCACCCTCATGATCCAATCACTTTTCACCTCCAAAACCTGGGCTTACAATTCACCATGAGATTTGGATGGAGATACAGAGTCAAACCATATCAATCCTATTAGGAAGACATCAGATTAATTATTTAGATATTTCAAATTACACTTAGATTAAAGCAGATGATGGAGACCTTGTAATTAGTTTGTAATTCATGCAACCATCCCTGTAGTTATTCAATCAGTGCTTTTCCTAGCACTAAAGATACAGAGAAGAAAGGATTACAGTCTGATATAGAAGTCAGCCATGTAAACAAATAATTAGCATACACAAAGTAAGTTCAGTAACAGAGGTTTGTACTTCATAACTTGCATGGGTAAGGCAGAAGATGAAGTGGTGCACTCTGAGGTCAACAGGTTTCAAGAAGACAGCAATGTTAAGCTGAGTATTATAGCATGAATATGATTTTAGCAGGCAGACAAATAAAATATGTGCCCAGGAGGTTTTCTGAGGAAAGTGTTGAATGTACTGAACACAGGAAGAAAAAAAGAATATGACATGCATAGGAACCATGAACAGTTTAGCATTGTGGAAACAAGGGATATAAGGAGTGGTTTGAGGCAAGTGGTTTGAGGGGCTCTGAATGTTAATTAAGGGGTCTGGACCTTATTCCGGAGGGGATGAGATGCCTTTAGTGCTTTAAGGTGCGAGTAAATTGCTCAAAATTTTGCTTTCAGAAAGAGCTCTCCAGTGCCAGTGTGGAGGATGAATTAGAAACATGAGAGCCTGGAAGTACTGGGTTTTGCACATATACTTCTATTCTCCATATGGAATGTTTTCTTTTCTTCCATATCAGCCCATTTCATGGAAAGCTTTTATTTTTATTTTTTTCAGAGACAGATTCTTGCTTGGTTGCCCATGCTGGAGTACCATGGCATGATCATAACTCACTGCAGCCTTGAACTTCTGGGCTCAAGTAATCCTCTGGCCTCAGCCTCCTGAGTAGCCAGGACTGCAGGCAGACACCACCATGTCCAACCAATTGTGACTTTTTTTTTTTATAGATGAAGATCTCACTATGTTGCCCACACTGGTCTTAATCTCCTGAACCCAAGCAATCCTCCCACCTTGACCTCCCAAAAGGCTGAGGCATGAGGCACTGGCATCAGGCATGAGGCACTGAGCCCAGCCATATCCAATTCCTTAATCTGTGAGATTTAACATTTAACATAGGGGTGTCCAATCTTTTAGCTTTCCTGGGCCACACTGAAAGAATATTTATTTTGGGCCACACACAACATACACTAACATTAACAACAGCTGATGAGCTAAAAGAAAAAAAATCACAAAAATAGCTCATAATGTTTAAGAAAGTTTACGAATTGTGTTGGGCCACATTCAAAGCCATCCTGCAAAGCCCATGGGCCGTAGGCTGCACAAGCTTGGAACAGTTCCAGACAGCAATCCCAGGATTCTCTGAATTGTAGTTACTATGCCTCAAGTTAGCCCTTAAAACTCACTTGTACAATGGTGCTTTTTAATCCCAATTTTTTCTTTGTTTTAGTAGTTTTAATGGTTATATTGAAATATAATTTACATACCATATAATTCATTCATTTAAAGTGTGCAATTCGATGATTTTGTAGTATATTCAGAGTTATGCAACCACCACCATAATCAATTTTAGAACATTTTTATCTGCCCAAAAAGAAACCCATACCCATTAGCAGACATTCCCCATTTCCAACACCACCAGTTCCAGCTCTAGGCAACCATGAATCTACTCTCTGTCTCTGTAGATTGCCTATTCTTGATAATTCATATAAACACAATCATACAATGTATGGCCTTTTTTGACTTACTTCTTTCATGTAACATGATGTTTTCAAGATTTATTCATGTTACAGCATGTATTAGTACTTCATTCCTTTTTGTTGCCAAATCATATACCATTTCATAAATATACCATATTTCTTTATCCATTCATCTTTTGATGAACATTTGGGTTGTTTCTAGTTTTTGGCTAATGTGAATATGCTGCTATGAACATTTATTTACAAGTTTTGTGTGGACATATGTTTTCTTTTCTCTTGTGTATACACCTAGAAGTGGAGTTGCTGGGTCGTAGTATAGCTTTATGTTTAATTTTTTTTTATTGATATGGTGTATTCGTTGATTTTTAGATTTTAAACCACCTTGCATTCTTGGATGTAAATCCCACCTGGTCATGGTGTATACCTTTTTTATATATTGCTGGATTTTATTTCCTAGGTTTTTTAAAAAGAATTTTTACATCTATATTCTTAAGAGATATTGGTCTATAGTTTCCTTGTGATACCTTTGTCAGCTTTTGGTATCAAGGTAATAATTGATATCACTAAATGAGTAGGAGAATATTCCCTTTTCTTTCTTTATTTTTGGAAAAGTTTGAGAATTGGAATTAATTCTTCTTTAAAGGGAAAACTCGCTAGTGAAGTAATTTGGTCCTTGGCTTTTCTCTATGGGAAGTTTTATGGTTACTAATTCAGTCTCTTTACTTATTATAGGTCCATTTAGCTTTTCTATTTCTTTTTAAGTCAGTTTCAGTAGCTTTTGTCTTTCTAGGAATTTGTCCATTGCATCTAAGTTATCTAACTTGTTGGTACTACTGTCCATAGTATTCTTTTTTTATTCTTTGTATTTCTGTAAGGTTGGTGGTAACTTTTTCTGTTTTATTCCTGATTTAAGTAATTTGAGCCTTGAAGTCCAAGAAATTCTTATCAAATTGGTTAGCCTTTTTGAATAACCAACTTTCAGTTTTGATAATGTTCTCTATTACTTTCTTTTATTTATTTCACTAATTTTTGTTCTAATATTTATTATTTTCTTCCTTTTACTTGCTTTGGGTTTAATTTGCTTTTCTTTTTTTAGTGTTTTATGTTGATTTTTTTCAGTGTTTGAGATCTTTCTTCCTGTTTTTTAATATAGGAATTTATAGCTATAAACTTTCCTCTAAGTACTGCCTTAGCTGCATTCCATAAGTTTTGGTATGTTGTGTCTTCATTTTCATTCATCCTAAAATATTTTCTAATTTTGCTTTTGATTTTTTTTGATGTATTGGTCATTTATAGAATATTGTTTAATTTTCACATATTTGTGAATATCCAAAATTTCTTTTAGTTATTAAATTCTAATCCTAATTCCATCCATTGTGGTCAGAGAAATACTTTCTACAATTTCAATCTCTTTGAATTTATTGAGGCTTGTTTCATAGCCTAGAATGTGGTCTATCTTAAAGAGTACCCCATGTGCTCTAGTGAATGTATATTCTGCTGTTGTTAGGTGGGTTATTTTATATATGCCTGTAAGGTCTATTTTGTATATATTGTTCAAATTTTCTATTTCCTTGTTAACATTTGCTTAGATGTTCTATCCATTATTGAAGGGGAGATACTGAAATCAACTATTATTGTTGAATTGTCTATTTTTCCCTTGAGTTGTGTTGGTTTTTGCTTTACATATTTTGAAGCTCTGTTGATGGGTACATATATGTTTATAATTGTTATAACATCCTGATAGATTGACCCTTATCATAAAATAACCTCTCTGTCTCTAATAACACCTTTTTCCATTTTAAGGTTGATTGTGTCTAATATTATAGCAATTCCAGCTTTCCTATGCTTGCTGTTTACATGATATACCTTTTTCAATTATTTTATTTTATTAATTTTTTCTGTTTTTGCAAGACGGAGTCACTCTGTTGCCCAGGCTGGAGTGCAGTGGTGCAATCTCAGCTCACTACAACCCCTGCCTCCCAGGTTCAAGCAATTCTCCTGCCTCAGCCTCCCGAGTAGCTGGAACTACAGGCACATGCCATCACACCTGCCTAGTTTTTGTATTTTTAGTAGAGATGGGGTTTCACCATATTGGTCAGGCTGGTCTCAAACTCCTGACCTCAGATGATCCACCTGCCTCAGCCTCCCAAAGAGGTGGCATTACAGATGTAAGCCACTGTGCCCAGCCAATTCTTTTACTTTATTTATTTATTTATTTTTGAGACCGAGTCTTGCTCTGTTGCCCAGGCTGGAGTGCAGTGGTGTGATCTCGGCTCACTGCAGACTCCGCCTCCCAGGTTCAAGCAATTGTCCTGCCTCAGCCTCCTGAGTAGCTGGAACTACAGATGTGAGCCACCACACCCAGCTAATTTTTGTATTTTTAGTAGAGACGGGGTTTCACCATGTTGGCCAGGCTGGTCTTGAACTCCTGACCTCATGATATGCTCGCCTTGGCCTTCCAAAGTGCTGGGATTACAGGTGTGAGCCATCCCACCTGGTCTAACTCTTTTACTTTCAATCTATTTGTATCTTTGAATCTAAAGTGTTTCTCCTGTTGACAGCATGTAGTTACATCATGTTTTCTTATCTAGTATGACAATCCCTGTCTTTTGATTGGATTATCTAATCAATTCACATTTAACACTAGTATCTATATAGTTAATGTTTGCAGTTTTAATTTTTGTTTTCTATTTGTTTAATATCTTTTTTGTTCCTCTATTACCCCTATTGTGTTCTTTTGCATTAAGTGAATATTTTTAGAGTAATATTTTAATTACTGTAATTACTTTTTAAACTATTTTTAAAGTTTTTTCTCAGTGGTTGCTCTAGGGTTTGCCATACATGTCTTATCAGAGTCTATTCCAAATTTATACAAACTTAATTAAAGTGAGGTACAGAAACATTATTCCTATATAGTTCTATTCCCTCTTTCTCCTTTTTGTGCCATTATTATTATACATATTACATCTATAAATGTTACTAACCCAATAATATATTGCTGTAACTATTACTTTGTAAATTTTATGTCTATCAAAGAAGCTGAGAAAAGGAAGAACAAGTATACGCAGTCATGTGCCACATAATCGCATTCAGTCAACCATGGACCACATGTATAACATATATGATGGCCGTCCCATAAAATTATACTTTTAAAGAAGGTATTTTTACGGTACATTTTCTGTGTTTAGATACACAAATACTTTCCATTGTGTTATGATTGCCTGCAGTATTAAGTAGAGTAACATGCTGTACAAGTCTGTAGCCTAGGAGCAATAGGCTATGCCATATTGCCTAAGTGTGTAGTAGACTATACCATCTAGGTGTGTGTAAGTATACTCCATGATGTTTGCCCATCAACAAAATTACCTAAAAATGCATTTCTCGGAATATACCCCGGTCATTAAGCACAGGCCTGTACACATAGAGTTTGTTATGTTAACCTTATTATTTACCATTTTTGGTTTTCTACATATGTTCCATCGATTCAAGTCATTATCTGGTGTCATTTCCTTAGCCAAATTCAACTTGCTCCCACACTCCTTTATGCTGTTATTAGCAAATATATTACATTTCTATATGTTCTGGCCCAACAATATATTTATAAACATAGTATTTCACACAACTTCATTTTAAATCAGTTGAGAGATGAAATAAGAAACATGTTTTTATACTTTATAACTAAAATTAATTGTTATTTTTATTAATAAATTAAAATAAATTAACAATTAAATTCAGACTGGGGTACTTTTGAGGCCAGTCTCCCAGATTTTTTCTGAGCTAAGGAGGACTCTTCTTAGCTCTCTCTTTCACTGATTATGTCTGTGAATAGCTGGCCTGTGGTTCAGCTTGTTGTTCTTAATAAGGGAGCCCTATTGTTTTTGAGAGTATCTTTATACTTGAGCTTCTCCACACTCCTTTTCAAATAAAGTCAGTTCAGAAACGGGTCCAGAGCTCTCTTTTCTTACGGATGTCTCTCCCTCAGAACAAAATTTCTGAGCCACTATTCCCGGTACTGCAGAGGGTGGGGTGCATAGTCTCTGATCTTTCCAGCCTACCTTTCCTGGTATGAGACTTTTGTGTTATGAGTGTTAGGATGAGGGCAATTCAGACCCCAACATTCTTGACCTGCTGTGCTTGGGGCAGAGCCTCTGTGTGGATGGGGGCTATGTGGAGGAGGAGAGCACTTGACTTTTCTACAACACTCACCAGGAATTTAGCCTATTTATCTTGGATTAAAGGGGATAAGAAACATTGACAGTCTGCCCCTTCTGGTGAGATGTGTTAACACTTGATTGGGAGCTAAGGAGGGAATCCATCTTCTTGGCCACACCCACTTGGAGTAGAGCTTCTTTCACTAGTGTCCTTTTAAACGTTACGGTTCTGGCTAGGCAGAGACACAGACTGGGCCTTCGCTAGGTGGAGACAAATTCAACCTTTGCTGTAAAGGGCCTAGATTTGGAATGGTAGTTGTGGAGAGTCTGTTTTCTGAGAAGCCGGTAATAATTAACGATCTTATTTAATCCCCATTTACGGATGAAGTGAAAGTATCCTAATTCACATAAATAGGAATGACAAAACGGGAGTCAAAGTCAGGTGAGTCTAACCTTGAAGGCCTAAATCATATTCTACTACTCACTGAAGGAACAATTTCTTCCTCCATTAAAACTAGAGAATTCCCAAAAATTATAAGGGAGGAGAAATAAATAAGGGGTTAGAAGGAAAGAATAAAAAAAATTCAACAGAATTGGTCTGGATTTCCCAGGAACTACCTCATAACTGGGGGACTTTTTTATTCAAAATGTGCTTATGACATATGAAAATACTACCAGCATCTGGCCTTATGTTTTCCCTTTTTTTTTGAGATGGAATTTTGCTCTTGTCGCCGAGGCTGGAGTGCAATGGCGCCATCTTGGCTCACTGCAACCTTCTTCTCCCGGGTTCAAGAGATTCTCCTGCCTCAGCCTCTCAAGTAGCTGGGATTACAGGTTCCTGCCACCATGCCCGGCTAATTTTTGTAGTTTTACTAGAGACAGGGTTTCACTACGTTGGCCAGGCTGGTCCCCAACTCCTGACCTCAGGTGATCTGCCCCCCTCGGCCTCCCAAAGTGCTGGGATTACAGGCATGAGCCACTATGCCCAGCCTGGCCTTATGTTTTCGTATTAGCTACATTGCAAGACTCTTAATGTCTCCTATTTATATTATATTTAACAATCACCTCATCCCATTTACAAATTATTCACAAACCACTCTTTAAAGCTGACACGCTTCTAATGTGATGAAGTAATTCATGACAACCCTAATCTTCACTTCTATTTTCCTAAAGTTTTAATTGGCGGAGCATTTTTAAAAACACCCTTTTAACATTTGTTAAGTTAGTTGTATGATTTTTCCTCTCTCATGTATAAATATTATGAATAAAACTAAAATTTCCAATGTTAAGTACTATTTGAATTTCTGGGAAAATGCTACTTGTCTTCCTGGGAAAATCTTCCTTTTGTACACTACTGAGTTTCATTTACTAGTATATCTGCAACTAAATGTATGTGTTATTTAGCTATAATTTTTTTGTTTGGTACTGACGTCAAATTTTGTGATTAGAGTGTTGGGCAAAGCAATCAGAACACAGCACTAGTGGCATCTGCTGCAGATATGAAATAGGGTTTATTAGAGGTGGAGAGAATTCACAAGTAGAGAAGTAGTAGAATGCATAAAATCTTCTAATTTCTCATCCCATAGTTTAGGCCAGAAGGCATGCCCTATGGCCATTGTTGCTGTGGGGAAGGGTCCTGTCCCATTAGGTTGAACATATTTATCAGCACAGGAGCGGGTACTATGCAACATTGGAGCTCTCTAATCTAGGAAGTGGCCTTGTTAGAAAGATGGGGGTGGGATTTTCAGAGCTCACAAGCTGTTATGGTCTGTTTTCTCTTCAACTGACTGTGACCTGCTAAGCCAATTCTGCTAAGCCATCAAATAGAGGAGGAAATTAGCCTCAGAGGCCATCCAAGTTTGTCTCTTCTCACAGGATTTGCTTGTCTTTTATAGAAAATTAGAATGCTTTTCTTCTTTTTCAATGTTATGAACTACCTTAAGTAGTAAAAAGGTAATCTGTTCTTTGAAGTTTGATAGAAGTCATCAATAAAACTGTAAGGGCTTGGCACCATTTTGGGGATAGCTATTTGAAAGCTTTTTCACATTTTTTCCATTATTTTCCTACTTTTTCTTCTGCTAGTTTTCCTAATTTAAGTATTTCTAGAAATTGTTAATATTTATGTTTCCAAAGTTATGGCATGGTACTTTCTTATAATTTGAAATTTTTATTTCATTTCTTAGGTTATATCCCTTTTCTTTTGCTTAATGTATTTTTGCTCTATTATCTTGTAAGATAATAGAGCTTTCGTCTTAAGAAAGATTTGTATATATTTACCCATCATCTTTTGGATTTATTTGTTAATGATATCATTGTTTAAAATTTTTTAATGTTTGCTTTTTAATTTATCAAATCTCTGATTTTCCTTAGATTTTCTTGTTGTTTACCTAATTTGAGAGTTTGGTGTTTAGGTAACTTATTTTCATTATTTTATGACAAAACCAGTTAAAAATGAGTTTTGACCAGGTGTGGTGGCTCACACCTGTAATCCCAGCACTTTGGGAGGGATTGCTTAAACCCAGGAGTCCGACCAGCCTGGGTAACACGGTAAGACCCCGTTTCTACAAAAAAATAAAAATATTAGCCAGGGGTAGCACACACCTGTAGTCCCAGCTTCCTGGGAGGCTGAGGTGGGAGGATCATTTGAGTCTGGGAGGTTGAAGCTGCAGTGAGCTGTAATCATGCCACTGAACTCCAGCCTGGGCAACAGAGTGAGATGCTGTCTCAAAAAAAAAAGAGTTTTTTCCTAGTAATAATGGATAGCATTTATAAAGTTCTCACAATGAGTCAGAGAGTCTTCAAAACAGACCTATAATGTTTCTACTATTCTATTCCCATTTTCATATAAGGGCACAGAGCACTTAAAATGTCTACCCAAGCTTCAAAGCAGTATAACCAGGATATAAATCAAACTTTTTTGGCTCTAGAACTTGCTCTTAAACGCTACATAATGTTGCTCTGGCTAAGTTTCAGAATTCTTTTTTTTTTTTTTTCTGAGACAGAGTATTGCTCTGCTGCCAGGCTGGAGTGCAGTGGTGCCATCTCAGCTCACTGCAACCTCCACCTTACGGGGTTCAAGTGATTCTCCTGCCTCAGCCTCCCGAGTAGCTGGGATTACAGGTGCACACCACCATGCCCAGCTAATTTTTTGTATTTTTTGTAGAGATGGGGTTTCGTCATATTGGCCAGGCTGGTCTCGAACTCCTGGCCTCAAGTGATCTGTCCACTTCGGCCTTCAACAGTGCTGGGATTGCAAGAGTGAGCCACCGCACTCAGCCCACAATTCTTGAAAGACATTTTTCTCATATTTCCAACTTGTCTGTAATTCTAAAATTTCCTATTTTTATTGAAAATTTCATTTTTTATTTCCAAAGGGTAAATCTTTTATTATTGATTCTGATTTTATTTTATTGTGGTAAGAAAATGTGACCTATTTCATTTCTGCATTTTGAAATTTAAGTTCAGTATTGCCTAATAGAGAGTCATATTTTGAATTTATTCAATGAGCACTAGAAAATGAGAGTATGATGTATACATACACAATGTAATTATAACCTGAATTACATTATGATTCTTCATTATCTTATTCTTTATTTGCATAATCTATCAAAGATTCTATCAAAGAGCATCTAAAAGTCTCTACTACAAATGTTCTCTTCACAATTCCTGTATTTTTTCTTTACATATTTTTGTTATTCACTGCATAAAACTTTATGAATATTTTCTTCATTGTGAATTATATTATCATTTTCTTAACAAAAGTACCCTCTTTTTGTTTCTTTCCCTTATGTCTGATATTAATAATTTGCTCCCTACATTTTTTTGTTGTTTGCACTATTTGATGCATTTTTACCAGGGCTTTTTCATCTGGTTTTTAATCTGTCAATCATTTTTATAAACAGTATACAGTTTGTTTTATGACTCAGTCTATGAGTCTATTATTGATAGAGAGTTTACGCTGTTTTACTTAATACCATAACTGATAGGGTTCGTTCTGTTTCTGAATCTTTAAAACCCTTTTGGTTTGGTTCTCCTTTTGCTATATCTTTTTAATTAATTTATTTATTTTTACCCTTTGTTATGCAATGGTTCTTTTTTTTAACAGTAATTTTGAATATATGCACCCTTTGCTAATATCTAATAAACTTTACTCTATTTATCTTTTTTTGTGCCATACATTTATCCCCTCACAACTCCAGAGAAAATTCCCATTTGAAAATAATGGTAGTAAGTCTGCTTTCTCCCTTTTCTTTCACCAAAAATCATCAAAAAGAACAAGAAAAATAAGAAACAAAAAGTGCAAACTCATTTTTAGTGGAACAATGACAGTTAAATCCCCAAATAACACAATAGGGGAAATGGCTCCTACAAGCAGTGGGATCGAGCATGAAAGAAGAAAGAAGACACTGTAGATGTAGATTTCAAAAAAAGTGTCAGAAAGTACATTTTTGGAAAGTGAAGTATATACTTTGAGGTGGAAAAGATCAATCTTGTATTTAGCACAGGATGCAAGGACTACTGGCAGATGCTTCCCTAAGACTGGGTTGGTTCTGTGAATCAGAGGAGTCAAGGCTAAATCAGGACTCTCACAGATCAGTCATATTTGCAAGAAGTAGTCAGTCTTTGTGGCAGAAGAGAGGAAGAGAAGCTTCGCATTGTGAAAACTTCCACACTTCATTATTTCCTTCTGTTGGGGAAGCATAGAGGTTAAAGTGGCTCATACACAACATCCTGGATTCTAAGGAAAATTCTAGTTTCTTGGAACATCCCCAAGATTACCTTCACTTTGTGAACCTTCGACAGATTGCTGGTCAAGGAAAAATCTTACCTGTCTGAAAGATAAGTAAGAAATAGAAAGCAAGACAAGAATGGGAAAAGCAAATGCCAGACCAAAAAACCCACCAAAAAATGTTGCATTAAAGCAGATGAAAATAGTAATCATGTATTCTGGCCTAAACTTTTTTTAAAAATAATATTTATAGCAAAAATCTCTATAAAACAAGAAGAAAAAGAAGAGATACTAGAGTTCAACAGGTGCTGAAAAAATACATCCAGATGATTAAAAAATGTAAAAAATGAAATGTTATAATTTTGAAGTGAAGGCCTTCCTATGACACAAAACCCAGAAGCCATAAAAGAATGATAAATTAGACTCTATTAAAATGAAAAACCAAGATGAAAAACTTCCAGGACCAAAGGCATTAAACAAATGAAGAAATATTTGTAACTAATTTAATAAGGTACTAATTTCCCTAGAATATACAAATCTATTGGGAAAAGAAAGAAAAAAAAAACAACCCACTAAGCTAGACACAGCGGCATGTGCCTGTAGCACCAGCTACTCTGGAGGCTGAGGCAGAAGGATCACTTCAGCTCAGGAGTTCGGGGCTGTTGTGTGCTATGATCACACCTGTGAATGGCCACTGCATTCCAGCCTGGGCAACATAGTGAGACTCCCATCTCTTTAAAAAAAAAAAAAAAAAAAAAACAGAAGAGAAAAAAGGCAAAAAAAAAAAAAAACCTTCACTGAAACAAAATGAGCAAAAGATCTGAACAGATGGATTCAAAAAAGGAAATGTAAATGGCTTTTAAACATAAAAAGATTGTCAATCTTATTTTTAACAAGAAAAATACAAATCAGAGCCATACAAAGATTACATTTCACATGTAAGACTGGAAAAAAAATTTTTAATGATAACATAGTCCCAACATTGTTGGTGGAAATATAATTGTTACAATCAATTATGTCTGAACAGTGCTTTGGCAACACCTATCAAAATTACAAAAACCTATATCCTTTAACCAAGAATTTCACTTCTAAAGATTTATCCTACAGATATACTGGCCTGTGTGGAAGATGACAATGTACTCAGTCATTGCTGTATTGTTTGTAATAGCACAAGACTGAAAACATCCTCGTGGGCGGTGTTTAAAGAAATGGTGGTATGTCAGTTCATGGTAGATGGCATCAATAGCCCCATTTCTTCAGACCTTCCTTTACACAAGCCTTTTGCCATGCCACTTTGTAGGGCCCTTTCACTTTGTTTGGGATGTAATTCCATGCACCTTGGCTTTAGTATGTGATTTGCTTTGGTTTATAGCATATTGGCAGATGTTAGGCAAGCAGTATCTTAAAAAGGATTTACATGATTTACGTTTGCTTGCTCTTGTGCTTAACCTGTTGCCATAAGAATAGCATGTTTAGGCTATTTCACTGGTCTTAGGAGGAAGGTCAGAGCCATTTGGAACAGAGTTGTTTTATATCCATACTATGGAATGCTACTTATAAAAAAATAAAAAGGAATGAATTATCGATACTTACAATAACACGGATGAATCTCACATTAGTTATGCACAGTGAAAGAAGCCAAATTAAAAGAGCACCAACTTTATGATTCTATTTATATGAAATCTAGAAAATTTAAATTAGTCTGTAGTGACAGAAATTAAATTAATGGTTGCCTGAGGATGGGATGGTTTAAGGGCGGCATGTGAATAGAGGGATTACAAAAGGACATGAGAAAACTTTTGAGAATAATGAATACGTTCATTTTCTTGATAGTAATGATGGTTTCAAGGATGTATACATAATTATCCAATGGTACACTTCAATTATATGCAAAAGAACATTAAAAAAGAAATGTAATGTTAGGATTTGTAAGGCTGAGTAATAGGTGCACAGGTTTTTATGCTGTTCTGTATTGTTGAGTGTGTTTGCTGTATTTAAAAATAAAATATTTAAATTCACTTAAAAAAGAAATCTAGATTTTCACATCAGAGTTAGTTGATTTAACAAAGTAGTGGGAACAACAAATTTCATGAAAATAGAGCCCATGTCTGTCTTCTTCACCATTGCTTCCTCAGTTCTCAGAACAGTGCCTAGAAGCACTCATCACATACTCCAAAAATATTTATGTAATAAATAATGAATAAACTCAGTTTATCCATAGCTACTAGTAATTTCCCTATTTTAAAGAAGCTTCCAATTCCTTATGATGAAACTTGGAAGTTATCGAACAATTTTTGAGTGATGGCACATACTTTGGAGGGTGGTTGTGGAGATTATCAGAAACCTTGAAGTGTCTTTAGTTTTCTTATGAAGATGCAGGGCTTGTATTCAGGCAGTCTGCAACAACAAAGCTCTATTAGTTGTTTACAGGTGGCAGCCTCTGATTATTGAACACTGTTTGATCAGTTTTTGTGCCATACTGGTTGCAAACCGTTTTGAATCTCACCCCTTTGTAAATGTCACCCACATCAATATTTTGGGGGTGAAAGTACCGCCTGATGTCACACATTTCTCTACCGGGTTTCTATTGAAGTTCAGTATGGGCATCCTTTGGTGTGTGCCCCGCACCCAACTCCTTTATCCTATCGCTACCCACACTGTTCAGGCCATATGGTTTGACACTGGCTTGACTTTATCTCCCTAGTTAAGCTCCTTAACTTCCTTTTTTTCACTCCAAGGTAATATGATAAATTTCTATTTCAAAGTACATAACATCTCTAGTACTCTCTTCCTTAGCTTTCATATGGGGATCTAAATTTGATACTCAATTTTGTATTTGAACATTTCAAACAGTGCTAAGAACCATCCTATTGACCTCTGTATTTTAACTCACTGGGTAGGACTTATAATAAAATAGAGAAGCCTGGGTCATGTACCCAAACTTTGGCCTAACGCTATCTGCTGAACCTCTGCCATGGATATGCAATAGATTGCCTGTCAATGTGCCAGTATTGTAAATTTTTTTAAGGGAAATTGCTGGCTTTGGAGGTAGCCCTGTTTGGAAGACAAAGTGAGTACTACAGAAAAGCACATTAATAAACATTTATTGAACTGTGTTAAATTTAATTGAAATTAATTGAGTTTGGATGGTGGCTACAATTGCAACTGCTCCCATTTCTTGACTGAATTCCAGTCTTGGTTTAGAACCCATCTTGGGTAAGAACATTTTGACAAGAATCCCTGCAAACATCTTCCGTGTCACCTCCGAAGTGGAAATAATGTACATTAAAAAAGGATATTAGGTAACATTGCTAATTTAAATATTTACCATAACTTCCTTTTAAAAGACAATAATTTCAATCAAATAAGATAGGTTCTTGAAACAGATAAGTGTCTTATCCTATTCTTTCTCTAGGTATTTTTTCACTTCATCATAATCAAACTTGACTCTTTAATAAAGAATTATTAGAATTTCTCTTGGTCATTACTTAAAATATAGAGGCTGACTAAATACCATGTATCTGAAATATTAAATTCAAAAGAGAAAAAAATTTTAAATAAGTTTTCTGTGATGTTATGCTACTTAGAATTATGTCTGTATTCTTACCTTCACAGTGAATAAATCACCAAGACTTGTAGATTCTCTTAAAAATTTATACAGGTTGTTTTCAAACTTTCAAAAAATCAATGTTTCTTCTTCACAATATTTTATAAAGCCTTTTTTATTTTACAAAATGCATCTTGATAAATAATTTAAAAAGTACATACTATATTAACTAGAATATTAAAGGATAAATAAAAGAAGAATATTAGTTAATATGTAGCACTACATATAAATACTTGGGCATAACTACGATAGAAACTCAATGAAGTGGTGATATTCTTCTGCCTACTTATAAACAAGCTAGGATTTAAGAGAAGTTAGACCAATATTCAAATGAATGTTGAAATAATTTTTAAAAATATTAGACATTTTGAAATAAGAATCACTGCAAATGTAACAACTACAAATGCAAACTGATACTATATTGATGATCTGAGTAGAATGAGTGGCATGGTTATCAGAGATAAAATTTTGGTAAAGTTCCAAACAAAACAATATATATTGTTTCCTTACAGTGTTAACTGTTCCTGGAAAATTCAACGTATAATAAAACCATACTATAAGTATTTGGAGCTTAAATGTAAAATGAAGTTGTTTCTAGGCTGAGAACTTCAGGTTTTTATCTAGTCACACTGGGGATAAATTAAAATTTCTCTTGGTCATTATTTAAAATATAGAAGTTATCTGTAATCTTATATTTAGAATTATAAATGTATGTATTGTTACCTTCAAAGTGAATAAATCACCAAGATTTGTAGATTATCTTAAAAATTTTTATAGGTTGTTTTCAAACTTTCTAAAAGCCAATATTTTCTTTTCAAAAAATATTTTAGTGGCACTGGGTGCAGTGCCACTCTGTTGGGAACCACTGTTCCATGTAATCTTATGGTCTATATAATAACCAGTGGTCTATATAATCTATTGTTGCCTTGCCAATCTTTTCCTTCTACTTTAGTTTGGCTCTTTGTCATCCCTCACTTGAACCACCCAACTTTTCTCTCTGTTTTGTCTTCTTTGTCTATAATTTACCTTTTAAACAGATAGCAA
This sequence comes from Homo sapiens, assembly GCF_000001405.40. Classification (NCBI taxonomy): domain Eukaryota; kingdom Metazoa; phylum Chordata; class Mammalia; order Primates; family Hominidae; genus Homo; species Homo sapiens. The sequence goes on from NW_013171802.1 coordinate 227,344, forward strand.
ATGTGATCTTTCTAAAATGCACTTGTGATCATGTCATCCCTCTGCTGAAAACTTCCATTGGCCCCCCATCACTCAGGATAATACAAACCTTTTATTTTTATTTATTTATTTTTTTGAGATGGAGTTTCACTCCTGTTGCCAAGGCTGGAGTGCAATGGCATGATCTCAGCTCACTGCAACCTCCACCTTCTGGGTTCAAGTGATTCTCCTGCCTCAGCCTCCCAAGTAGCTGGGATTACAGATGCCTGCCACCAGGCCTGGCTAATTTTTGTATTTTTAGTAGAGATGGGGTTTCACCATGTTGGCCACGCTGGTCTCGAACTCCTGACCTCAGCTGATCCACCTACCTCGGCCTTCCAAAGTACTGGGATTACAGGTGTGAGCCACCATGCCAGGCTGGAATAATACAAACCTTTTAGACTGGAGGTCAGTAATCTGATCCCACTAAATTTCAAATCTCACCTTGTACCACTCCCTCCAATGTATCAATGTGTGCTGTGCTCTGCTTTGTGTAGTCTCTAGAACTGAATAAATTCTCAGGTTTTTCACCAACTTGCCGATCTTTTGTCTGTCAAGTTCTTACTAACATAGTCTTCCTTCAGTATGCATGGGGATTGGTTTCAAGAGCCCTGTGGATACCAAACCCCACAGATGCTAAAGTTTCTGATATAAAATGACATAGTATTTTTTTATAACCTACATGCATCCTCCCACAGACTTTAAATCATCTCTAGATTATCATACCCAATATAATGTAAATGCTATGCAAATAGTTGTTTTACTGTATTTTTCATTTGTATTATTTTTTACTGTTGTAGCATTATTTTTTCCTGTTTCTTTTTTCTGTATATTTTCAATCCCCAGCTGATTGAATACACGGGGCAGAAGCTGAGTATACAGGCCGATTGTGCTTCAAAATGCAACTCAGGCATTTCCACCCTAGTAAAACCTTCTGACAGTCTCCCCACTCCATCCCATGTTTGCACTTACCGTATGTTTTGTAACTATTTGCTTTCCCATTAGACTGTGAGTTATCTGAGGGCAGGGATTTTTATCCTATCTACCCTTGTATTTCAAGTGCATCAAATAGGTGGACAGTATATAGCGGGGTCTTAAAAAAGCATTTATTGAATTAATGTTGAGTGATCCTGCTGTAATGGTGACTATTTGGAGAGTTTGGATATTACTATATACAATCATCCCTTGTTATCCTCAGGGAGTTGCTTCCAGGATCCTTGCGGATACCAAAATCCAGGGATGCTCAAGTTCCTTAAGTTAAATGGCATAGTATTTGCATATAACCTATGGACATCCTCCTATATACTTTAATTCATCTCTAGGTTGCTCATAATACCTAATACAATGTAAATGTTATGTAAATAGTTTTTATGCTGTATTTTTTTGTGGTTTTTTTTATTAACATTTTATGTTTATTTATCTCATTTTTATATAAGGGCTTGTTTGAACTGCAATAACATTGGTTTTGGCTGTAAGAGAAATTACATATCATTAGATAACTTTATTTCATTAGGGGAAGAGGTTTTTCTCCTTAATTTCTCAAGTGAAAGTTCAGTGGAATTCTGACATATGTTTATTCTGCCCTGAAAACCTCAGTGTCTTCCAAAGAAACAACTACTGAATCTGAAATAGTGAATGGGTCCAGGGATAGCCTGCCATATTGGAAATAAAGTAGGAGAACAGAGTTTAAACCACAGGCTGGCCACTTACTAGGTAATCTGGACCAAGTGGTTCTCTAAGTCTCAGTGTTATTATGTGTAAAATAGAGGTAATGGAGAGTTGAGAAGGAAAATGAAATCATGCATATGAAAATATGTAAATGGTTAAAGCACTATACAAATAGAAACTCTTAATAACCATTATTAATGGTGGAGGAAGGCTGGACCACCACATTCTGGACCATCAACCCTGCCCCTCAGAAAGGAGTGTTAATTCACCAAAAGGTTTGTTTTGTTTTTGAGGTGGAGTCTTGCTCTGTCATCCAGTCTGGAGTGTAGTGGCATGATCTCAGCTCACTGCAATCTCTGCCTCCCAGGTTCAAGTGATTCTCTTGCCTCAGCCTCCCCAGTAGCTGGGATTACAGGTGTGCACCACCACACTTGGCTAACTTTTGTATTTTTAGTAGAGACAGGGTTTCACCATGTTGGCTAGGCTGGTCTCAAACTCCTGATCTCAAGTGATTTGCCCACCTCGGCCTCCCACAGTGCTGGGATTACAGGCATGAGCCACCGCGCCCTGCTGTATTGCTTAGGAAATAATGATAATTTTTTAAAAAGTCTGTACATGTTTGGTTCAGATGTAACCACCCATTTATTTTCTTTTGATTATTTTCTATCTGTGGTTTGGTTGAATCCAGGGATATAGAACCCACAGATATAGAGGGCTATATTTTTCTTTTACTAGCCGCAGCACTTATTGTACTGACTGATGAGACAAATACATTCCTTTTGACCCATTCCTTAATTTACATTTTACTTTAGTTTACACATCTCAGAAGTTTACACACTTCAAGTACTTAAAGTGACTTGAAGTTTTCTTTTTAATCACTGACAATTTTAAAAAATTATTTCTTCATGAATATACACATATACATGTACAATTTCTGGTGGGTTTTTTTTTTTTTTTTTTGTCAAATTGACCCTCAAGTTGATGGTTTTAGTTTTAAGTGTTGGTTCATGGTTTTTTGACATATGTGCTTGTTGTTCACCAACACTTGACTTTGTTTTAGTTACTTTTCAGATCTGACAGTTTTCACGTGTATTCAATTCCTTTGCTAATTTGAGACAGAGATCAAAATGAACTAGTCTTAAATAATCTTGGTGTTTGTCCATGCTGGACCACGCGGCTTCTCTCTGCTAGTTACCATAAGGGTGGTCATAACCACTCATCATTCTTTTTATACCTATTTATTCCTTGCCTAATCAGGATTTAGAAGCAATATTTCAATAATTTACTACTGACTTTCCTTTGGGTCATTAGAAGAAAAATGGTCCCTGTAGAAACAATCTTGTAAATAAATGATAGTGTAGAAACGTTTCCTGCAGGCTACAAAGTGACCTCTTGAAATACACTAAATTGGTTCTTATCTGTCGGGACATTCAGATCCTTCCTTTATTTCACTTTGGAATAGAAGAATAAATTGGGAAAAATGTGCTCTGCAATCCTCTGCCCTGCCTTAGAGTATGTAAATAGCATCATGCACAAAAAATTTTCAAGCTGTCAGGAGTAAAGTAAGTATGATAATTTGGGATAATTAAATGCTTAAGACAATCAAAATAGAACTGATCCTAGTAAGCTTTTCTCACTTGGAGGAAACTTCTTTAAAAAGTATTTACTGATCTAAATGTCTTTCAATAAGGCTGTTAAATAAATTGTGGTACAACAATCTACAGTTTGAAATATTTCAGTCTTTAAAAAAGGAGAAGCATACCTATATGTATGCACACAGAAAAATAGATGGTTGTTTTTAAAAAAGAAAAAATGCGAATAATTCATATACTATGATCCCATTCACATAAAAAATAGCAGAAACAATTGAAATATTTATAAAGAGAGAGGGCATTGACTGGAAAGATACACACACCAAACCGTACTCAATTCTGCATTGAGAGCTTTTGCTTCCGTGTCTATGTCTTTCGTTTACCAGATTATCAACTGCTGTATTGCCAGATCAAATACAGGATACTCAATTAAAGTTGAATTTCAACTATAAGCAACAAAATTTTGGGTGCATTTCCCAAATATTGCATGGGACACACTTAAAAGGTATTCATTGTTTTGTTCATTAAAAGGTATTCATTGTTTTGCCAGATTTGTTAAATCTGGCAACTCTACCTTAAAGAGACTTTAAATTATTTATCCTTGTATTCCTATTACTAACATAGTTACAGAGATATAGTGGATTACAATAAATAACATGAGGGGGGTAATTTAGGAGAGAACTATCAAAACAGATGATTTTGCTAAGTATGTGACATATTTATCTCAATTTTCATGGAAATATCTTCAAATTTCATTAGTGGTCCTATTATAGAAGACACACAGCAGGCAAGTGTCAGAGCTAGAAATGACCCTAAATTTCTGGGTCCCTATTCAGCAGCCATAAGCAATTGCCAGCTGCAGGAAGGTGGAGGCAGAAGAAGTAAAAAGGGAACAAGAGGTGAGGTTTACGTTCTGCCTAAGTGGAACAGAGTAGAACTTTGCACAAACTCCTTAATCTTGCCTAGAGGCAGAATGTGGGATGTACTATATGGGAGGCAGGCAAATCTGGGCCTGGTTCCCACCTCCATCACTCATTTGAACAAGTTATGTAATTTATTTTTGCGTCAATTTTCTTGTCTGTAAAACTGGAGTGAGAGGACCTAACTTGAGTACCGAAGTGAAGAGTCAATGAGATAATATCTGTGATCAGCACAGTGCTTGGCAAGTGGAAGACACTCAGTCAAGCTAACTTAAAGCCCCAGTTTTTTCATTTGTACAACAGAACAACAACAATAATAGCAACAAGCAATAATACTAACAATATTTATCTTGCCTCTGAGTTGTCTTGAAAATCAGATGAGTATATATATTATGTTTCTAAATTCTAAAGTGTATCTCACTCTCCTAACAAAGCAGTTGGTCTTCAGATCAGGACCAGAGTTAATACCATGCCAGAGCATTATTACAGGTTTTTTCCAATGAGTAATTAATTTTATTTTTAAACTTATCATACAGTAAAATTGACTCTTTTGGTTTACAAAGTTCTATGAGTTATAACACGTTGTATAGGTTTATGTAACCACCACCACAATCCGGATACAGAACATGACTACAGCTTTAGAGATTCTTTTTCAAAGTGTTTTACATTCATGTTGCAAAACACTTTTAAAAATAAGAAAAGAGATGTAGATAAACGTGCTGAAGATGCAAATTAATGAAACCAGCTTTTGTGCACAAATCTCTGCAGTTTCCAGTGTTTTCAGCTTTTGTCTGAGCCATTTTTGCTGTCGGCTTTGCAGACTATCTCTTTCTATAAAAGTAATCAGGCGTCCGTTGGAGAGTTGGGGTCTTTCTTCACACTAAAGGCACATGTCCCAGGCACAAGCCTCAGGATCCTTATTTGATCTTTTTTAATACGACCAGGTCTTAAATTTCCGAACCATGTTTTCCCTAATTGCCATTTTCTCTCTAAAATGAAGAAGCCTGGAAGAACCTTCTTATCCCTTCGGGGAAATTATTTAATTGGGACAAAGGGGATGTGGAGTTACAGAGAGCAACGATAGGGCTTTCAGAACCCAAAACCTGTCTGGTATAATAACAGATCCTTCCGGTAACCAACCATTCAATTTGTCCCTCTCCCCAACCCCATCCTCTCCATCACCATCTGCCAGATGCCCCCTGGGACAATCGACTTTGAAACCAAACTTCTCTCCCAGGTCAGCTCCTGCAATCCCCACTCCTCATCCTTGGAGCTTTCTCCACAGAAGTGACTTGACACACCGCGCTACATCTGGGGAGGGGGGCGGGTCCGCTTTCCGGGAGACTCAAGTCTTTGCTATTTGCCTTTTGTTTCTGGGATGCCTTTGGCTGCCTTTCTCTTCCATCTGCTTTTAATTTTGGTAAGAGAAAAGCTAATGAATCAGGAATGAATCTCCTCTCCACTAATCTTTTTTTTTTCTTTCTCTCTCTCTCTCTCTTAAAGTTGGCGCGCTCTCTTCACAAGTTCCATCACTACCCAAGAAGTGAGGGGGCGGGGGGGACAGGCGGGAAGGCATTAATTACACCTAAATCTGAAGTTTGCGGCCTCAAGTACCACTTTGATGGGGAGAGCTTCTGAAGCTTCCATACAACCTGCCGTGCCTTTGCTGCTGCCGCAGTAGATTTTCAGCTCATTTCTTTCTGCTGCTGCTTCGCGCTGCTCTGTCATGCCTAAATCTATCTCGTCACTGCCAAAGGTGCCTGAATCAGGGTGAATTCCACGAGATTCACCAGCGGTTTTGCTCCAGTCCAAGGTAAATACAGTATGCAAAATGAGGAACCACCCAAGGATGTCGGGGAGGGGGGAGAGAAAGGGATTCCCTCACCTTTTCCGGCACATTCCTCGTTAATTTCCACCAGGAGGAGGCGCGCAGCCCAGCTCCCCTAGTCTCTCTTCTTAAATCCCCCTACCTACGGCTGCCGAGGTTGGCCGCGCGTCGGGAATCTCCCCGACAGTCCTGGCCCTCCCCCGCCCCCCGGGTTGGTTTTTCCCAGCTGCGGAGGTTGGGAGGTTGGGCCAGGGGCTGGGGTGCGAAGAGAGTCGGCGCCCGCAACGCGGAGCCGGGAAGTCGTCGCTACTCTGGTGGAACTCAGAGTTGGTTCTGGAGGCGGCGGACGCGGAGGTGAGCAGTGGGAGCCCGCGGCCTGGGAGAGACCCGGGAGGCGTCGTTGGGGCCCCTCCCCATCCTCGGGTGGAGAGTAGGGTTGGTTCGGGTTGCCACTGTACCCCGAGTCCCACTGCTGCTTTGTTCCCAGACTCTCCCCTCCTCTTTGGAGATGACTTGAACCCCTTTGAGATCCGAGGGGCTGGCGGGGCGCGGGCTGGGGGGCGACAGTTGTAGCTCCACTTCCTGCTAATGCGAGAAGGTACAAAAAGAGATCAAAAAGTCCTGTAACCTGAAACTTCCCTCGCATCCTAACCGGGACCTGGTGGAGAGGTCTGGGCGGGGGCGGAGACACCCGGAGGCCGACCTTCCGCCGAGGCGGTGCAGGAAGGAACGGGAGAGGGAGAAGTTTGGTAGGGAAGGAATTGGGGATTAAGCGGTAAGTTAGACGCGGGAGACGAGTCTCCTCGGGAAAGGCGGAGGGCGGGAGGCCGGTCGGGTTTATTTAGTGTGGGCCAGGGAAGAAGGAAGACTTTGCGGTCTGGGTGTCGGATGCGCGTCCCCCTCCGGAGTAAAAGTGACCGGAGGGGTTGGGGAGGCGAGGCCGGGGCGGGCTTTTGGAAGGAGGTCTCTGGGACAGACTGGAGACGACTAGACTCGAAAAGGCCGGTTTTTGCACTCCGGAAGCCGCGGCAGCCACCGCTGTTCACGCCTCTCTCCTGCTTGTCCCAGGTCCCTCAGAGGATCCAGCGAGGGGCGCCAACAAGAGGCGAAGAGGTGGCACCAGGGCGGCGGCAGGAAGAGGAGCGGGAGCAGGAGCGCGGAGCGGAGCGTCCCGACCCGCCGTGCGTACTTTCTGGAGGGAAGGGGCGGGGGAATCGGCCCCTGAGGGAAGCGCCCGGTGGCGAGGGGGTTAGCCAAGTTCCGGCTGCGGCGCCACTCCCTCGGTTCCACGAGAGGAAAGTTTTTTTTTTCCAGACGCTTCCGCCGGCTCGCGCCCTCCGGGCCCAGCCTCCCGAGCCTTCGGAGCGGGCGCCGTCCCAGCCCAGCTCCGGGGAAACGCGAGCCGCGATGCCTGGGGGGTGCTCCCGGGGCCCCGCCGCCGGGGACGGGCGTCTGCGGCTGGCGCGACTAGCGCTGGTACTCCTGGGCTGGGTCTCCTCGTCTTCTCCCACCTCCTCGGCATCCTCCTTCTCCTCCTCGGCGCCGTTCCTGGCTTCCGCCGTGTCCGCCCAGCCCCCGCTGCCGGACCAGTGCCCCGCGCTGTGCGAGTGCTCCGAGGCAGCGCGCACAGTCAAGTGCGTTAACCGCAATCTGACCGAGGTGCCCACGGACCTGCCCGCCTACGTGCGCAACCTCTTCCTTACCGGCAACCAGCTGGCCGTGCTCCCTGCCGGCGCCTTCGCCCGCCGGCCGCCGCTGGCGGAGCTGGCCGCGCTCAACCTCAGCGGCAGCCGCCTGGACGAGGTGCGCGCGGGCGCCTTCGAGCATCTGCCCAGCCTGCGCCAGCTCGACCTCAGCCACAACCCACTGGCCGACCTCAGTCCCTTCGCTTTCTCGGGCAGCAATGCCAGCGTCTCGGCCCCCAGTCCCCTTGTGGAACTGATCCTGAACCACATCGTGCCCCCTGAAGATGAGCGGCAGAACCGGAGCTTCGAGGGCATGGTGGTGGCGGCCCTGCTGGCGGGCCGTGCACTGCAGGGGCTCCGCCGCTTGGAGCTGGCCAGCAACCACTTCCTTTACCTGCCGCGGGATGTGCTGGCCCAACTGCCCAGCCTCAGGCACCTGGACTTAAGTAATAATTCGCTGGTGAGCCTGACCTACGTGTCCTTCCGCAACCTGACACATCTAGAAAGCCTCCACCTGGAGGACAATGCCCTCAAGGTCCTTCACAATGGCACCCTGGCTGAGTTGCAAGGTCTACCCCACATTAGGGTTTTCCTGGACAACAATCCCTGGGTCTGCGACTGCCACATGGCAGACATGGTGACCTGGCTCAAGGAAACAGAGGTAGTGCAGGGCAAAGACCGGCTCACCTGTGCATATCCGGAAAAAATGAGGAATCGGGTCCTCTTGGAACTCAACAGTGCTGACCTGGACTGTGACCCGATTCTTCCCCCATCCCTGCAAACCTCTTATGTCTTCCTGGGTATTGTTTTAGCCCTGATAGGCGCTATTTTCCTCCTGGTTTTGTATTTGAACCGCAAGGGGATAAAAAAGTGGATGCATAACATCAGAGATGCCTGCAGGGATCACATGGAAGGGTATCATTACAGATATGAAATCAATGCGGACCCCAGATTAACGAACCTCAGTTCTAACTCGGATGTCTGAGAAATATTAGAGGACAGACCAAGGACAACTCTGCATGAGATGTAGACTTAAGCTTTATCCCTACTAGGCTTGCTCCACTTTCATCCTCCACTATAGATACAACGGACTTTGACTAAAAGCAGTGAAGGGGATTTGCTTCCTTGTTATGTAAAGTTTCTCGGTGTGTTCTGTTAATGTAAGACGATGAACAGTTGTGTATAGTGTTTTACCCTCTTCTTTTTCTTGGAACTCCTCAACACGTATGGAGGGATTTTTCAGGTTTCAGCATGAACATGGGCTTCTTGCTGTCTGTCTCTCTCTCAGTACAGTTCAAGGTGTAGCAAGTGTACCCACACAGATAGCATTCAACAAAAGCTGCCTCAACTTTTTCGAGAAAAATACTTTATTCATAAATATCAGTTTTATTCTCATGTACCTAAGTTGTGGAGAAAATAATTGCATCCTATAAACTGCCTGCAGACGTTAGCAGGCTCTTCAAAATAACTCCATGGTGCACAGGAGCACCTGCATCCAAGAGCATGCTTACATTTTACTGTTCTGCATATTACAAAAAATAACTTGCAACTTCATAACTTCTTTGACAAAGTAAATTACTTTTTTGATTGCAGTTTATATGAAAATGTACTGATTTTTTTTTAATAAACTGCATCGAGATCCAACCGACTGAATTGTTAAAAAAAAAAAAAATAAAGATTCTTAAAAGAATTACAGTGTGTGCAAGTTTGCTTTGAAAAAAGGATGAAGGGCAGGAGTATTCAATGGTCTTGGTTCCGATGATAATTATTACTTAACATAGCTGAGAATCAAACTGTAGCAATGTCTAATATAAATAGACTTGGGAGATCGTTTTGAAATGGTGGATCCTTTTAGTATTTAAATGGAGAGTTTGAGTATTCATGTGACTGTATGGTCCCAAAGTTAATGCTATTTATGAAACAGTTTTGTAAGAACATAATGAAGTTGGTAAAAGCTAAGCGTTCTGCACAATAAACAGTTCCCAGTTTGGGGCTTTTTCAAGGCTAATGAAGTTATTGTTGGTCTAGAAAAATAGTATTTACTTAATAAAACTCTGTTTGAAATTGTTCTGTGGATTTTTAGAGCAGAATTTGAAACAAATGTAATGCAAATAAATATAAAGATAAAGTGTCTTAAAGACAATATTCTGAAATAAAAGATATAAAATATAATTTAAAAAATATTTCTCAATGTCTTAATGTAAATTGAAACTTAGATTTTCTTGAGGATATTTTCAAAAAAACATTTAAAGTGGAACATAAATGTTCTTTAGTTTATCAGAGACCCAGCTAATATGTTTAAAAAGTTGACTTGACATGGTTGAATATGAACTTGAGGAAATAACCACAGATAAATGTCTACATCTGTAAACACGTGTCTCAAGTATTTATAGGTTCTTATCTTCAGTTCAGTGTTTAAGAATTTGAGGATATTTTGATTTTAGCTAAGCTGTTCATAATGTAAGTATATACACCTTTGTGAAGAATAAATCACATTTAGGTGTAAATACAGGCAATCATTAATTGATACATCCATAATATACAAGGCTTTTATTATTTTTTCAGTTTATTATCTGTCATTTAATCTGAAAAGTAAATTCCATTAATCAGTCTTCAGGCTCTTTTATCAAGTGATTTAAATGTAGCCATTATTGCTTAACTGAAAGTATTAGGTAAACTTGCATCAGTAAGTCTTAGGGCTTGCTTTTCCTTTGAACTGGTTATGTCCTTCAGTGCTTTATGTTTGAAATAAAATCTACATTTTCATATTTTTATAAATAAAATAGGATCAGATAGTATTTTAGGTTCTAGAAATCTTTGCTGATTCCTTCTTTGAATTAAATTCAGAAATTTTCAAAGTAGGGCTAAAAATAAGTAAATCTTCCTTTTTATAGGTTAGAATATATAGTCAGAATACAAAGCTGTAATTCCTTAAATTCCATCAGGCTTGTTTTGTGAAATATAGTATTTATTATTTAAGGGTTATATTTCAGATCCTATAATTACCTCAGAAAAAGCTAAATATTTGGCACTTAAAATTCCATCAAACAGTTTAAGTGTTCATCAGAAATTCCTAAACTGTCTGGTTGCCATTATTTGGTAAGAACAATGAGATACTAATCTGTCAAAAATAGTGACCACTATCTTAGTAAACTGTTGATGGACTTAGTAAGTCTTCTGATATTGTAGGAAACAAATTATAATATTGATAGAGCCTCTATTGAGAAGAATTGTTTCTTCATCACATGATAATCTAACAGTTTAAAGTGGAGCTTTATCTAAGAACCAGGGAAGCAGTAGATTCATTAGTCTAGCTTTTCTCATCAACTCTTTGAAGCAATGATGAATCTGATAAAGTGAAGCCAAGTTTTCCCTGTTAGGTAGATGGCTTCTTTGAAGTTATAATTTATTGCTTCTTTTTCATCCCCCTACTTATTCTCTTGTTTGGACTTTCCAATTGCTACTGCTTTGTTTTCCATCACATCACTCCTTCCTGTTCTCCAAAATATGGAAATAAAAAAGTCAATTAAAAGAACACCTTATTCTTAAGATAAAAAATTGTTATTATTTGACAACTAATTAATGTTTTGCAGCCCTAATATTCTTAAGTCTATAAGCTTATAAAACATTCTAAGTTCCTTGGAAGATAGAGGCTATATAAATTCAATAAGTATAAGGGAATATGGGAAAAATAAAAGTATCACTTTATTTAAAAATAAGACAAGTCTGTTTGTTTTAAATACTGTTCTTACTATTAATGCATTGTTGACTCTAGAAACCTGCAAGTATCCATTTTTAAAATTTTATTTTAGTTGGTAATACTCTTTATTACTGAACGTAAAATTTTCAACATAAAACACCCTTCATTTATCCTTTACAAGTTTCATTTGAAGAAAGTTAGAAAAAATACTTAGAAATTCAAGGACTTGATATATCCCTTAATTTAGAAAGCTATTCAACTATCCCATAAATTTCTATTTAAAGTAGCAAAAATTTTAGGATAATACAGCTATTTGGCCCTGAATTATAACTGCCCCCTTTGATTGTAACCATTCAGTTTGCAGCATTCGTTTTTGTAATAGCAGTTTGGCTGCTATGGGTGTGATTCAATGGTAACCTACAAGGCAAATTTGTACAGGAGCTGACAGATTTTTCTAACAAAATAAGGAGACTTTGAAGCACATTGAATAGGAGTTTTTAAATGAATAGGATTTTTTAAAGGAAAAAGAGTAGGAGCTTGGGGGGGAAGGCTGGTTGAAATAAATGAGCAAATCACAAATAATAAATCCTTTAGAAATACCTTGATTGGCAGTAAGTGTGGATTATGCTCATCTCAGTATTTAATTAGAAATAACTTACCTTTGTCTTTTGTCTTTTTAATTAAAGTGGCTGTAAAAAAGAAGGTCCAGATGAACTGAGATTGTTTGCTTAGGAATTCTGTTTTACTCTTTTCCTTTTACCTGATGTTCTAAAACAGGGCTTACCTTGTTGAGGACCTTAGAGGCTTTGCAATTCTAGATTGTGATTCTTTCATATCATTTTAGTTTTTCTCCCAAGACTACACTAAAGGAGACATCACGAGATTTGCAAGGTTAAAAACAATTCTGCACGTGCTTCCTCCTGCTCCCAAATCCGGTCATCCACCTTTCAGAGCAGCACCGTAAAGTGAAGACAGACATTTATTAGATGAAATTCTGGTTTCACTTTTACACTTGTGCAAGCATTTTTAACAGTAAAGGAGAGGAAAGGGAGGAATTTATATTTCTAGATAATATATGAAAATTACCTTGATATTGTATTTTTAAGATCTTTCACCAATACTGCAGTGCTGCACTAGAAATAATTAGTTTAAGAAAATACATTCAACATTGTCCAGGTGATCCTGTCACCTTTTAGATGACGAAAAACATCTTGAGGATGTTTTGTACAGTTATTTTCCCATTGTTACTCTTAGAGACTTTTGTTTCAAAAAGGCAGGCTCATTTTATTTTGTTTTATCTTAGAACATTTTAGCAGCTCTTTGTCATGGGTTAAAAAAATCTAGAATTAAAAAAATGTTTAATATATGATTTATATAATTTTGACAAGAATACAAATTCTTAGTCGTTCAAAATTGGAAGCGCTCTTAGAAGTGTCAAGCTCAGCTTTCCATTCCACAAATGAAGTAACTGGTAACTGTGACTTATTATGTTATACAGTGACAGTTATTATGTTATACAGTGTCAGTTATACAGTGACAACCAGGACAAAATCCTAGGGTTCTAGATTCCCCTTCTGGTGCTCTTTTTACCAGATGATGGCATTACTAATTGCCTACCTTGAGGCCTTTGAAATCACCATGTCTGATAAAAACATGCAATTGCTTTGGTGAATTTGTTTGTTTTATTGTTGTTGCTTTGAGTGAATGCTTCAGTTTGCTCTAGATTTTACTTTGTTAAAAATTACCATGTTTTAACCCCCGAAAACATTTAATGTTTTTGAAATGATTTTTTCATAACAATCTTATGAGTCTATTATATAATAGGAAGTATTTTGGAAATTTAATGGTGATATTTCTTTGGAAAAGAAAAATAAAAACTCTGGAATGCAGTGCTGGTTTGTATAATTCAACCTTAAATGTGAGTTAAGCTCAGCTGGTGAGAAAACTAAACAAATGAGACCAAGTTCGTGACCATTAAGTCAATCAGTCACCAGGTGAGACAGTCAGCTTTGCATTCTCTGCTGTGTTCTCCTAGCTCACGCCCACTCCAGGTGCATGCTGCCATCCTCTAAGGGCCTGGACCAAACAGGGAAGTTAGTTAAATCAATGCAAATCCATTATCACCCTGGAAAACCAGGGGACTGACCAGCCGAACACTGCCAGCTTGGCTGCTGAAGTGCCAGTTTACTGTCTTTACATATGCAGGACACACACTACATCTCAATTTTCTCACATCATATGTAGTATTTATGCTGCAGATTGCAAAAGGCTTATAATTTATGTGAATTTTGGGAAGCTAGCATGAGTACCTTTCAGGGTATTGCATGGGAAATTAATTAGGTTTACTTTATTATTTTAAAAAAGTGTGGGTTAAGATTAAGCAACATGATTACTATATCATACACTTACACGTAAATGTTTATAAAAACAAATACAGTTTATATTTAGCTGACATTTTATGATAGGACTTACTTGTGGTTCACAATTTAACTTGGTTAATGTAAGGAAACATTTGGTCTAAGGAAGCAGAAGCTTAAGATAATGACCCTCTATAATACTTTTTGTGAAAAGTAAATATTAAAAATATGTTTTAAAGAACCGGGGATGTTATCGAGATAGGCTTAAAAAAAAAAAAAACGGAAGTTTATACATTTATTTTCCCCTTCCCCTTACAGTTCTTTTTTTTTTTTTTTTTTTTTTTAAGACACAGTCTTGCTCTGTTGCCCAGGCTGGAGTGTGGTGGCATGATCTCAGCTCACTGCAACCTCTGCCTCCTGGGTTCAAGTAATTATCCTGCCTCAGCCTCCCGAGTACCTGTGATTACAGGCGTGCACCACCATGCCCAGCTGATTTTTGTATTTTTAGTAGAGATGGGGTTTCACCATGTTGGCCAGGCTGGTCTTGAACTCCTGACCTCAAGTGATTCGCCCACCTTGGCCTCCCAAACTGCTGGGATTACAGGTATGAGCCACCGTGCCCAGCCATCAGTTCTGTTTCTATTACTTTTTACTTTCTTCCTCCCAAGAGAGCCATGACACACAACATTTCAAGGTGATCTTACCCAGGGGAATTGGACTGACTGGAACATTAGGTGGGTCAGTTTACAAATACAAGTGACTCTATGTCAGTTTCTCTCAATTTTACAATACAGTATTACATTGTATTCAAGGAGGACTTTAATTTTCAATGGTACACATTCTGTGGTGATTCTTATAGACCATTTCAACACTGGCTATAAAACACTTAAAAAACATTTTTAAATTAACTCATGTTTTGTAGAATATTTTGAAGTACAGGAAGGGAAAAGTACCATGAGTAACACTATGACTAAGGAAAAAAGAAGTGCTAATATTGGGATAAATGGCCTTCTCTTTATTTCACATGTATCCTGCCTTTTCAGTTACACTTTTTTGAGCATTCTCCACCACTATGAAAACTATTTTAACATCTGGTTCTAATGTACTGCAGACAATCATATGTTTTATACATACAGGATGTTGCTTGCAGTTTTAACTTATGTTGCAATAAGCATTTTTGTACCCCCCTGTATTTCTACCTTTTGCATTTTTCCCTTAAGGTAGATCCTTGAGGGAGAATTACTAGATCCAAGGGTATAATCTCTTTTGTTCTAACTTCAAAAAATATTTTTGATGCCTATTTAAATTAGGATGATGAAATATAGATCATAGCTCACTATATGTTTTAAGAGTTTCACATCAAACTTTACATAGTAACGAAATGTCTGTGGACAGGATTTTGAACAGAAGTAAATATGGACCGAGTTGTCAACTAACTTGTCACTGTTTTAAATCCATAAATTTCTATTCTTTGTTAAAATAACAAATTTAGAAGATAGCTAAGCCCATAGCCCAGTTATGAGTGAGTGTGTGTGTGTGTGTGTGTGTGTGTGTGAGTCAGGGTGGGGAAAGACAATGTGGGGTATGGAGGAACATCTGGGAAATAAATTTAGCTAGTTATGAGTTAGGAAGCAGTTATTAAGACAAACCTATATCTTTGCCGAATTCTACTCTTTTATTTATTTTTTTAGATGCCTTGTATGGGTATACTTAGAATTAAGTGAGATTTCATACAAGTGAATTAATTGTACTCATCTTCTTGTTAATTTGCTTTAAAATTTTAGTAAGTTCCCATGAATCATTTTTTCAGATCTTGCATTGGATTTTTAAAAATGAGTTTCTGAGATAAACTTGCTTCTAATCTAGTTGTGAGGACAAGTGATGATAATAACTAACATTTCATGGAGTGCAGCTTTTCACATATAAGATTTATTCTCATTTGAAGAGGAAATTGAGGCTTACAGAGGATAGATGACCTGCCCAAGAACAACTTGGTAGTAAGAATCAGATATGGGATTTGAACTGTTGTTTTTTTCTGGGGAGGATGTTGGGGGAGCCTTCAGGATCCAAGCTCTTAACTCCTGCTCTAGAGGAGATGTGAATGACGATCATGTCTGTGCTTTTTCTAGCATAGAACATGATAAACCCCACCAGAGATTCAAACAAGGTGATATCAGGTTCAAAGTAAGGAGAGATCTTGTCTGGTCAGGAGAATCCAAAAAGGGTTCATGGAAGAGTTAGCTTTTAAGATGATTTTGAAGAAGAGGCAAAGAGAGATGATGGGTAGAAAAGAAAACTCAGGACAGAGAGAATAGCATAAGCAAAGAGAATGGAGGCAATTGAAGACCAAGTGTTTTCTGGGAACAGTAACATTTGAAATGTAATGTTTACAAAGGAGAATAATGGAGTATAAGACTAGAAAGATAAATTTATCTTTCTAGATGGAAGCTATCATAAATAGTTTCTATACAATTTAGTGGACAGTGGGGGAGCTCTTGGAAGTCTACGAGCAAAGGAGTTATATGCATAGCTGTGGCTGTACCCAACAAAGATGAGATCAACACCCTTCCCAAATTGGTTTGGATATCAAGACTGATGAGACCACACACACACCAAGAGAGTATGCACAGGTTTATTACTTGCATAATGTGACTTTTTGGGGAGAGCAGGACTTGGCTTTGTTTTTCATTGTGATCAGGGTTGGAGCCACGTGGAGGCTTCAGGTTTGTCTGGTCTTCACATTCCAGCAGATGCCAAGGGATGAAGTTCATGGGCCCTATTATAGGCTTGCTCAGATATGGGACAAAAAGTGGGAGGAGGAGGAATGGATCTTAAAAACTATGAGTACTCAGACATCACAAATGGAGTCAGACTCTATTACAATTCACCACTGATGTTTGATTGATGACTGAAATGTGCCAGGGCTGATTTAATTGATTTTGAACTTGTTTAAATAAACCATTATTGTACTCTATGAGACTTGCAGCATGAGGTCAGTAAGAGAGGTGAGAGTTCCATTGCATGTCTTCTTCAAAAGTCCATGGTGTGTATTTTAAGAAGTGAAATGCAGGCCTTGGTCATCATCAATAATTTCTGGAACTCTGAAGGGGATAAGAAGTGTCTTGGTGAGGCCTTTTCGTTTAGTTTTAGTGTGGGCTGATGTGTGACATTTGTTTATATTTTGGCTATCTGTAAGGCAAAAAATTCCCAGAGATTTTGTTTTTAGCCCAAAGTGGGGTGACCTTGGATAAGGAATTGCTATTATTGCTACAGATCAGACTAACTGACTAGATAATTAGTAATGCCCCAATAATGTATACAAATAGACATACTGGACCAGTTGTTGGTTAAACATCATGTAGTGCTAAGATGACTGCATGAAGTTTGGTTGGTTGTGCTGGCTCTTGAGTCCCATCCTTGATCAGGGATGTCCTGGTTAGGGAATGAATAGCAGCAGCTCACTAGAGGGCATCATTACATTTTATGGTGACCTTGCATATGAAATCCCTTTTCTGATTACTCAGTTGATCCCAAGAGACTCTCCAGGTGGCCAGTGGGCCTGGAAGAAGGGTGGCCTACAGCACCATTACCTTTGGCAAGGGGCTGAGGACAGGAGAAACCACTTCCTCCTGTAGGTTGGATATGCCAGGAGGCCTAAGTTTGCTTCTGGTCTATAAGTACTATTTCCATTTTTGTCCAGAGGCCTCTATAACTAACTGTGCTGATTGTGCAGAGTGCTGTGTCAATGATCCAAGGCATAAGAGGCAGCTGGGTACATAGGATCACAGGCTTAGGGGCCATGAGGGTATTTGTCTCCAGAAAGGCCCAATGTGCAACCAGCAGTTGATGTTCAAATGGTGTGTGGCATGGGACTGAGGAGGGCAGCTTCCTGTATCAAAAGCCTGTGGGCAACTTACAGGTGATCCAGAGACCCCAGGAGGCATGAGAGGAGGTTGCTAAAACCTCTACAGTGAGGGAATCTCTGGGGTATATTAAGGAGAGTGCTTATTGTGTGTAATTTGAACAGATTCTAGAGCATTTAGTTAAAGGAGACCTCATTCAAGGTGGGCTATATTAGCCCATTCTCATATTGCTAATAAAGACGTACCCGAGACTGGGTAATTTATAAAGGAAAGAGGTTTAATTGACTCACAGTTCAGCATGACTGGGGAGGCCTCAGGAAACTTAGAATCATGGCGAAAGGGGATGCAAAAACGTCCTTCTTCACATGGCAGCAACCAGGAGAAGAGCTGAGTTAAAGGGGGAAAAGCCTCTTATAAAACCATCAGATTCCAGCCTGGCCAGTATGGTGAAACCCCATCTCTACTAAAAATACAAAAATTAGCCAGGTGTGGTGGCACATGCCTGTAGTCCAAGCTACTTAGGAGGCTGAAGCAGAAGAATTGCTTGAACCCGGGAGGTGGATATTGCAGTGGGCTGATATTGTGCCACTGCACTCTAGCCTGGGCAACAGAGTGAGACTCTGTCTCAAAAACCAACCAACCAACCAACCATCAGATCTCATGAGACCTCACTCACTATCACAAGAACACGTCCCTCCCACAACATGTGGGAATTATGGGAACTACAATTCAAGATGAGATC